>NT_187681.1:0-218612 GCF_000001405.40 Homo sapiens | reverse complement strand
GATCCCCATCCGGGTCGGCCTCGGGGAGAGGACCAGCCAGAGCGTGCTGCCCTCGCTGTGGTTTCCAGGGGCCCAGACCAACCAGGGCATTGGGGCACAGGTTAGCACCTCTGACCCCTGGGAGGACAGAGGGGCATCAACACAGGGTGGGGCGTCATCCACCAAATGCATACGCAGGGTGGGGCGTCCACCAAATGCATGCGCAGGGTGGGGCGTCCACCAAATGCATACGCAGGGTGGGGTGTCGTCCACCAAATTCTGACCGTGCATTTAAAAGGTATTTTTCTCAGTGCAAAATCACAAAGAATTGAAAGCAGGGTCAGCAGTCTTGTTGACCACAGCCAAGAGGTGGAAGCAGCCTGGTGTCTGTCCACGAATCTGGGGGAAAACAAGGTGAGGCCCATTGTGCCGGGGAGCACCAAGCAGCCCCCAAAAGGAAGGAGGCCCTGGCATAGGCGGCAGTGTAGGCGGATCCAAGGACATTGGCTTGGAGAGACAAGCCATCCACGGAAGGGCAAACGCCACGTGGTTCCACTACACCAGCGGCTGGGGCCGCCAAATCCACACACACAGAAAGCAGATGGTGGCCGCCAGGGCTGGGCAGGGGCTGGGCACGGGGAGTGGGGACCTGGTGTTTAACAAGACAGAGCTTCAGTTCTGCAAGACGAAGATGTTCTGGAGATGGTGGCTCTGCGGGCCGCACGGCAGTGTGAATGTCCTAACAGCACTGCACTGTGCACCCAGCAGTGGCAAAAAACGTCAACTTTATGTTATGTGTTTTTTACAACAATAAAAAATTGGAACAAAATGTAAAGCGAAAATTGCCCCCCTCGTCTTGAGAAGACACCCACGAATATTTTGATGGGGTCTTTTCAGATCTTCTGTGGACATGCGCCTGCTCCTCCTGTAAGGAGGCATTGGGTGCCTTTCTTGCTGGAGGCCCTGGGGAACTCGAGCTCAGCCTGGCCCCCTCACCCAGGGGGCCTCTTCAGGTCCAGCCTTCCGGGTTCATATAAAATACAAATATACTGGCCATGTCTCCAGGGATGTCTCGAAATACATGTCTCGAAAGTATTGGCTGAGGGAAGCTGAGCCACGAGGCATGGGCTGGGCCCAGCGTCCCCAAAATGCCCAGGGGAGGCTGTCTTCCCAGGGTCAGTGCGAGCCCAGCTCCAGGAGCAGGTGGGCCCAGAGACACCCACTTTTGGGGGCTGGAAACCCAGAGGTGCTGGGGGCCACCCCGTCCAGGGCCCCACCTGGCAGACACACCCCCGGTGTGTTCACAGCCTCACACTCACACCTGGACTGTTTGAAGAATGCACAGGTGAATAAGCCCTGTGTGCACCTGCTCTGAGCCACGCCCCTAGGCCAGGTGGGTTCGGGCCATGGGGCCAGCCAAGCTCCATCACCCTCAAAGGGCTCTGCTCGCCTCACCTCCCCTCGGCAGGCCTGGCCCACCCACCTGCATCTCAGAGCCCCCACAGTGCGCCCCAGGTGCCTGTCCCACAGTCTGGGGAGAGGGAGTAAGTAGGACAAGGGACACAGGATTAAAGGCCCTGGCACCTGAATGTGGTCCTGGGAGAGAGAGAGAGGGCAACGCGTGCCAGGCTAAACGGTGCAAGAAAGGCCCCACACTCACCCCACACACAGCCTGGGACTCACCCAAGGAAACCCCAATAGCCCATTCAGCTCTGTGGGCAGGACCGTGTGATCACAACGCACAAACCCATTGAACTGCAGCGACATGGCAGCAGTAGCAGTCCACACACACACACCATGCAAACACACACACACTCCATGCAAACAACACACACAAGCGCACACACACCATGCAAACACACACACACCATGCAAACACACACACACTCCATGCAAACACACACACACAAACACACACACACCATGCAAACACACACACACAAGCACACACACCATGCAAACACACACACACAAGCACACACACACCATGCAAGCACACACACACCATGCAAACACACACACACAAGCGCACACACACCATGCAAACACACACACACACCATGCAAGCACACACACACAAGCACACACGCCATGCAAGCACACACACACCATGCAAACACACACACGCCATGCAAGCACACACACACAAGCACACACACACGCCATGCAAACACACACACACCACGCAAGCACACACACACAGGCACACACACACCATGCAAGCACACACACACAAGCACACACACATGCCATGCAAACACACACACACGCACATACACACCATGCAAACACACACACACACCATGCAAGCACACACACAAAGCACACACACACCATGTAAGCACACACACAAAGCACACACACACAATGCAAGCACACACACACTATGCAAGCACACACACATACCATGCAAACACACACACAAGCACACACACGTACCATGCAAACACACACACACAAGCGCACACACACATCAAGCACACACACCATGCAAGCACACACACAAAGCACACACAACATGCAAGCACACACACAAACACGCACACAACCATGCAAACACACAAGCCCACACACACCTGCATACACATACATGCAAACACACACAGAACCTTGCAAACACACAAACATGGAAACACACATACATAACTCTGCAAACACACACATGCAAACAGACACACACACAACCCTGCAAATACATACACAAACACACACACATGCAAACAGAGACACAACCCTGCAAACACACATGCAAACAAGCAGATGTGCACACACAGAACCCTGCAAACACACGCACATGCAAACACATGCAACCATTCAAACACACAAACACGCAAGCACATACTCACAACCTGCATACACACACATGCAAACACATATAGAACCCTGCAAACACACAAACACAGAAACACATACACAAGCCTACAAATACATACACATACAGACACATAACCCTGTGAACACACACACACACACACACACACACACACACTGGCACTCTTGGTTTTCCTCGGTGTGTTTGCCCGGTACAGGTGACAGCCTATTTCTGTGCTCTCAGTTCGTCTCATTAATCTGAATGTCTAAGTTTATATCAATGTCACTCCGTCTCGACTAAGAGCTTCATTCTAAGTCTTGGAAATGTTTTTTTCTGCTTCGTCAAGATCGTCATGGCTATCCCAGGTCTTTTCCATGGCCGTATAAATTTTAGAAGGCGCTTGTCAATGTCCACCCAAAAAAAACTGGATTTTTTATTGGGATTGAATTTACCGATCAGTTTGGAGGAAAATGACATTTTAACAATATTGAGTCTTCAACTATATTAATACATCTCCACATATTTTGGTCCTTTTGAATTTCTGCAATTCTTTGCAGTTTTTAGTGTAGAGGTCATGGGGACATTTTGTTAAATTTATTTCTAGGCAGTAGCAGTTTTTTGATGCTCTTTTCTACTAGTTTGTTGCTAGCATATAGAAATGCAGTTTTTAATATACTGACAGCATTAGCCTGAATGATGGCCCCAGAGATGCCCGCATTCTAAACCCTGGAGCCATGGGGGAAGGGACCTGGTGGACAGAGTGATGGGCCTTGGGTGGGGAGGTTGTCCTGGATTATCTGGATGGGCCCGAAGTAACCACAAGGGCTCTTGTGAAAGAAGCAAGAGGGTCAGAGAAAGAGGTCAGGCAGACAGAGACAGCGGGAGGAGAGGGAGGCAGTCGGGGAGAGCAGAGGCTCCCGATGGCTCTGCAGGTAGAGGACGGTCCGCCGGGGAAGAGACGCGGCCTCCAGAGCGGGAAGAGGCGAGGACGTGAACCCTCCCCTGGAGCCTCTGGAAGGAACGCAGTCCTGCGAGCTCCCTGGAGACTTGGCACCCCCGGACCGCACGGCGTGAGCGTGCTGTGCTCAGCCACAGGGCTGTGATCCTTTGCCACGGCAGCAGCCCGGCTCCACACAGCCAGGATGGTCTTGGTGGCAATTGCGGACCACACGTGACTGTAACAGGTTTACCACTCTGCACCTTAATGGCAGCTTAAACACATAACATCCCTTAGGGAAAACCTAAGTGGCAAACACTTTATGCAAAGTAACATCTCTTAAGGGGTCCTGGATCTGCAAACACGGTTTGAGCAAAGTGACGTTTCCCAGAAAGTGCCCATGGCCCGTTTTGCAGAATAAGGAGGGTCCAGGGGAGGGGAGAGGAGAGACGCCAGAGACAGGAAAGAGGCCAGAGACAGCCCTGCCGTGTCCACCCCCAGCCGCTTAGGCTGTTTGTCTTTTTTTTTTTTTTTTTTTTTGAGACGGAGTCTCGCTCTGTCGCCCAGGCTGGAGTGCAGTGGCCCGATCTCGGCTCACTGCAACCTCTGCCTCCCGAGTTCATGCCATTCTCCTTCCTCAGCCTCCCGAGTAGCTGGGACTACAGGCGCCCACCACCGCGCCCACCTAATTTTTTGTATTTTTAGTAGAGACAGGGTTTCACCGTGTTAGCCAGGATGGTCTCGATCTCCTGACCTCGTGATCCGCCCGCCTCGGCCTCCCGAAGTGCTGGGATTACAGGCGTGAACCACTGTGCCCAGCCTCTTTTGTCTTATTCACATGTTTGTTATCAATTTTCAGTTGTATTTTGTTAGAGACCATAGCCACAAAAATTAATCTCACATTAGGCCCCAGAGAAAACTGCAGCCAATTCCGTAGACAACAAATTGGACAGAATTACACACTAACAAGAGTGAATTTTACTGTATGCAAATTATACCTTGAAAATAAAAAATACATGTAAAAAAGATTAATTTTTGTAACTATTCTATGGATGCCTAAGATGAAGGAGTATTATCTGTATTAGAGAACAAAGTTTGAAATAAATGTGTAAATAAATCTTATTAATTACATAATTCAAATCTTCTCTCCACCTCTTGCCTACTCTATCTGTCATGGAGTAAGATACTATAACTGAACTTTTTAAAATTTCTCTGCACTTTTTCCGACATCAACTTTACATATATCTTTCATTTTTTATTAAGATATAATTTGCATACAGTAAGATCCACTCCTGTTAGGGTTACAGTTCTGGGAGCTGTGATGAACACACAGTCAGGTAACCATCACCACACTCAGAGACAGTCGCTCGGTCACCCCACGAGGTCCCCCGTGCCCTGTACAGCCAACCCCGTCCCCTCTCCCAGTCTCCAGCCACCACATATCTGTTTTGCACCCCTACAGGTTTACCTGCTCTGTGATGGTATATAGATATAGATATAGGTATAGATATACATATAGATATAGATCTGATGGAATACTACTCAGTCATAAAATGGAATGAATTAACAGCTTTTGCAGTGACCTGGATGAGATTGGAGACTATTATTCTAAGTGAAGTCACTCAGGAATGGAAAACCAAACATCATATGTTCTCACTGATATGCGGGAGCTAAGCTATGAGGATGCAAAGGCATAAGAATGATATAATGGACTTTGGGGACTTGGGGGGAAGAGTGGGAGGGGGTGAGGGATAAAAGACAAAAAATATGGTGCAGTGTATACTGCTCAGGTAATGGGTGCACCAAAATCTCACAAATCACCACTAAAGAACTTACTCATATACCCAAATACAACCCAGTAACTTATGGAAAAATAAAATAAAAATAATAAAATTATTTAAGCAAAAAAAAAGAAAAAAGGAAAATCAATGGGTTTTTTTTTTCCATTCATGGTAAACCATTTGCCAATTCTAATATTTTTCAGAACTGTTTGTGGGAATAAAAATGGATTCTAAATGAAAAAAAAGAAAGATTTCTTTCATCGGCATTTTGTAGTTTTAAGCACACAAGTCCTCCACGTTTGGTTAGATTTACGCCTACATGTTTCAAGTTATTTGCGTGATTGAGAATGGTGGTATATTTTTAAAGTCGATGAAGTCATGGTCATTGCTACTAAATAGAAATACTATTCATTGTTGTGTGTTTATCCTGTATCCTTTGACCTTTCTGCACAGACATTAGTCTTGGATTTTTTTAAATTTCAGTATCTTTGGAATTTTCTATATAGACAATCATGTCACTTAAAAATAGGGACGGCTTTATTTCTTCCAAACGAATTGCCTTTTATTTCCTTTTCTTGCTTTATTGCACTGGCAGAACTCCCAGCAGTACGTTGAATAAGAGCGATGAGAGGGGACACCCTCACCGTGCTCCCAGTGTCAGACAGGAAGAACTCAGCCTTCACCATTAGGTACAATGTTAGCAGGAGTGGTTTTTGCTTTTTGGTTTCCTTTTTTTGTAGCTGTTCTCTATCTCATTGAGGAAATTCCCTGTATTCTTATTTTTTGAGAATTTATAAGAATGAATGTTGAGTCTTTTCAAATGTTTTTGCTGCTCTGATTGATAGGCTTGTGCAATTTTTCTTCTTTGGCCTGTTAATATGGCTGGTTGCATTAATTTTTTAAATATTGACCTGGCCACCTTGCATTTCTGGAATAGATCCCTCTTGGTTAAGATGGATAATGCTCCATATAGCACTGAATTCTCTTTGCTGTTATTTTGTTAGAGTCTGTATCCATCTTCATGAGGGGTGTTGGTCCATAGTTCTGGTTTGGATTTGCTTTGTTTTTCTCCTGCCTGTATGATTTCAGTATCTGGGTCATACAGACGCCCTCCTCTTCTACATTCTGGAAGAATTATGTATGATTGGTGTTAATTCTTCTTTAAAGTTTTTACAGAATTCACCGCTGAACTCATCTGAGCCCGGAATTTCTTCTTTTGGAGTTTAAAATTATAAATTCAATGTTCTCAACCATTTATTGGGCTGCCCAGTTATCTATTTGTGTTAGCTGAGTTGTGATCACTTGTGCTTTTTGAGGAACTGGCATATTTCATCTAAGGTGCCAAAGTTCTGTGTGCAGAGTTGTGTGCCACAGCCCCTTGTCACCCTCATGATATCTGCAGGGTCTGTAGTGATTGCTCCTGTTTTAGTCCTGTCCTTGGTCATTTGTGTCTTTGCTCTTGTTTCTTGCTGTAATGCTAGAGCCTTGTCCGTGTTATTGGTATTTTTCTTTCTGCCACTGTCTCCCTGCTTTCGGTTTCACTGAGGTCTTTACTCTTTCCTTCCTTCAGTTTGCTCTGTGTGCAACCTGTGCTTCTTTTTCTCATTTCTTCAGTGGGTGGCATAGATTACTGACTTGACTCATCCTTTTTTCTAGTGTGTTCTGTTACTGCTACAAATTTCCCTCAGCACTGCTTTGACTGTATCTCTCTAATTTTTTTTATTTTTATTTTTCAGAGATAGGGTCTTGCTATGTTGCCCAGGCTAGATTCAAACTCCTAGCCTCTAGTGATGCTCCCACCTCAACCTCCTGAGAAGCTGGGACCCCAGTTGCATGTCTCCATGCCTGGCTATGTCCCTCAATTTTTGATATGTTGCATTTTCGTTTTCATTGAGTTCAATGTTGTTGTTTTTTAAAACTTCCCTTGAGACTTCCTCATTGGCCCACAGATTATTTGGAGGTCTGTTCTCTAGTTTCTGAATGTTTGGAGATTTTCCTGTTAACTTTCTGTTGTTCATTTCTAATTTGATGTCATTGTTGTCAGAGAACATGCTGGAGTGTGATGTCAGTATGTGAAATGTGCTAAAGTTTGTGTTCAGGCCCAGGACACGGCCTCTCCTGGAATGTGTTCCGTGCACATTTGAAAAGAATGTGTGTTCTGTGGTTGGGTGGAGCTCTACAAATGTTGGTCCTGTTGGTTGATGGTGTTAAGTTTTTCCACATCTTTGTTGATTTTCTGCCTAGTTGTTCTATTAATTGTTTAGACAGGGGTGTTGATGTCTCTAGCTATAATTAGAAATGGGTGCATTTCTCCTTTCAGTTTTATCAGATTTGGTTCAACTATTTTGAAGCTTTCAGGGTACATCTTCTGGTGGAAATTTCTCTTACTTTTCCTTCATCTGAAAATGCCTTAACTTCCTCTTCCTTCTTCGGGGATACTTTCACTGAATATAGCATTCTGGGCTGACAGTTCCTTTCTGTCAGCATTTGAAAAATGTTGTGCTCTTTTTGGCCTTTGGGGTTTCTGATGAGGAATCAAATGCCACTCAAACTGTCTTTCCCTTATATGTAAAATGTTGTTTCTCTCCTGCTACTTCCAAAATTTTTTGTTTTTATAGTTTTCAAAAGTTTGACTACGAGATGTTTTGCTGTGGATTTTCTTGGGTTTATCCTGTTAGGGGTTCATCGAGCTTCTTGAATCTGTGGGTGTTTTGGCAAGTTTGGGGAGTTTTCAACCTTAGGTCTTTGAGCTCTTTTCCATCCCCATCCTCTTTCTCTCCTCCCATGACCCCAACACCTGGAATGCTGGGTCTCTTGTTCTAGCCCTATGGTTCCTGAGGCTCTGTGTGTTTCTCTCATCCTGTTCAGTCTGTTTTCTCTTCGCTGATGGGTCTGATAACGTCTATTATTGTACCTCCCTGCTCACTGTTTCTTCCTCTCACTGGACTCTCCCTCTACTCTGTGTTGAGCCCATTCATTGAAGTCTTGTTTTTGTTTTTTATCTCTTCAATTATTGTAATTTTCAGTTCTACCATTTCCATTCAGTTCGTCTTTGTGTGTTCTGTTTCTGTGCTGGGATTTTCTATTATCTGTTGAGACTTTCTATTTTTAAATTGGTTTCAATTTGTTCACAAATGAAGCACTTTATGGGCTTCTCAAAAACCCTTTCCAGATCATTCTAACACCTCTTTGTCTCAGGGTCAGCCTCTGCTGATTGTCCTTTTGAATTCAGTCTGAGATCTTCCTGGGTCTTGGGATGATGAGCAATTTGTTATTGAAACCTGGGCATTTTGGAGATTGCTACGAGACTCTGGATCTTATTTAAACCTTTCTCGTTGACTTCCTCTGGCACAGATTAATGAAGGGAAGGGGCAGCTTGTGGTGTGGAAGTGCTCATTCCCCACCGGCCCTCTCTTAACACCCCAGGGGTTTTGTCCATGCCTGCCGGGCAGGGTGGAGCCCTCACCGATGCCTTCTGGCTGGGAGGGGCATGGCGCCTCGTTGCTGCTCTCATTCCCTCCACGGGCATGATGGAGGGGGCCCTGTTACACTGAGCAGTGGTCAAAGTCATGACTCTCGGCTCAGCCTCCTCTGACACTCCTCATGGGGAAGAGGAGGAGTGTTTCAACACCAGGGATGGGGTGGAAATCCAAGCTCCCTAACCCCGTGTGGTCTCCACCATCCCCATCACTGGTCACAGAGAAAGCGGTTCAGAACCACCCACTGGGATGACCCCAGCCTCCTGCTGTGCCCACTTGGACACCAGCCCTGGGGCCACCTGGGGCGCCTCATTCCAGCCACCAGGGTGGGTGCCCAGCCCTGCCCAGCCCTGCCCAGACTTTGCTCCAGTGGAGTGCAGGTTTTCCGTGGTGTTCAGCTGGAGCAGGGCAGTTATCACCTAAAAGCCTTCTGCTTTGCCGGGCAGCTACTTTCCTGATCACGCTGGCTCCAGGAGGCGGGGACTGGTGGGGCCTTTTTTTGGTGTACATGTGTTGAAGTGTCCACACTGCCAGCTTCTCCAGCTCCAGGCCTGGGATCCATGAGGCAAAAGCAAAACCCAGGGAACTTGCAATGGGTCTTTCCTGGGGCCCGAGGTCCCCGACTGGTCTGCCCTCTCCTCTCCACCTTCCGGAGCCTTCCTACATTTCTTTCATGTCTAATATTCAGGATTCTTCTTTGTACTTAGGAGGAAGACAGGGAAAAGAAGAGCTATGCCATCATCTGGGAGCAGCAGCACTATGTTTTTTAATGAGTAAAAATCAAAATAAATCACCATTGTTTCTTCTGCTTCTTCTATAAACTCAAACTGATCCTCTTTGTCGTGTTCGGTGTTCATATCTTAACCCCGCCTTTCGATTTATTAATACTACGGCCACAGCTCTGCCTCTGCTGGCTTTTGTCTCATATCCTGTTGCTTTTTGTTGTTGTTGTTGTTGATGGAGTTGTGCTCTTGTCACCCAGGCTGGAGTGCAGTGGCACTCAGCTCACTGCAATCTCAGCTCACTGCAACCTCCACCTCCCAGGTTCAAGCAATTCTCCTGCCCGAGTAGCTGGGATTATAGGCACGCGCCACCACGCCCGGCTAATTCTTGTATTTTTAGTAGAGACGGGGTTTCACCATGTTGGCCGGGCTGGTCGCAAACTCCTGACCTCAAACCCACCTTGGCCTCCCAAAGTGCTGGAATTACAGGCGTGAGCCACTGTGCCCGGCCATGTTGCCTTTCGATTTTAACTTTGCTGGGGCATTCGTTTTAGCTGTGTCTCTTTCAAACAACGTGCAGTGAGGCTGTGGGCGTGCTCTTTTCTTTTCAGCCCCATCTCCAGCCTCCTTTTCATAGGGGCATTCAGTCAGCCTTTACTGCCATGGCTTATCGCTGGCTCCTCAGTCCCTGGCCTGAGAGTCCTGACCTTTCTCCGGTCTGTTCTTGTGCAGCCGGGTTTGTGCTCCCTTTGCCGTTTCCTCTTGCAGGTCTTCACTCTGTTTTCATGACTATAGAGGTCATCCTTTTAACCCTGGGATCTGTGTTTCTATGAGTGACCCTGATTTGCTTGTGCGTGTGGAAGAGACGTCACTACCCCTTCCCTTCCTCCTGCTGGCCCCTCCTTTCCAGGTCTCAGTTCTGGGCTGTGCACTCTGGATTGTAAACATGACACCTCCCCTTGTCCTCCTCCAAGAATTGACTGTGCTCTTTGCAATCTGTGGCAGCCATTGCAGCAAATGGCCGGGATGACCCCTAAACCCAGTCATTCCAGACCTTCTGAATGTACAACTTTGCCTTTCTTGAGGTTTGGTTTTGTCTGCCGCTTTTGTGGTTTTTTGCTGAGATTGTATCTTGATGGGCTGATGTATGTCTTCCAGTCCTTTCTGTTTGCAGGAAAAATGCATGGGAAATATTCTTTCTAATTGATTGCCTTAGCAGTTTTCCAGGGCCTGTTCCCCCACCCCAGGGCTTCCCTGCAGCTGCTTCTGTCTGAGCACCCCGCCTCCTCCCACCACCCCCGCCTCCCCCAGCTACCCCCTCCCTCCCCCAGCCACCCCCCGCCTCCCCCAGCCACCCCGTGCAAGGCCATCTCCCCTGCCTACACCCCGCTCAGCTCCCCGTATTGAATTTCCCCACAGAAATGTGTTCCCTTCTGCAGTTACCCATTGATTGATGAGATTATACAACTGAAATATTATGATCCCACTAAACTCTTATCCCACTGACAAGAAGGATCTTGTCTGGTTTTGTGCACCTTGATGAATGACACGTGAGAGACTCTCAACTAGCCGAATAAATGAAGTCTTGCTTTGACTCAGACATGTTTTATTTTATCATCGCTTCAATATTGCTGTTTTACAGGTAGGGCAAGTTCAGCCCACCGTCTTGCACTTTGCTTTATGTGTAACCCATGCATTCTTTGTTCCTTCGATCTTCTTTGCCTGCTTTCCTTTCAGTGAATCGATATTCTTGTTTTCTTTTGAAATAAAATTTGTTGAGATATAATTTACCCATAATAAAATCAACTCTTTTTTTTTTTTTTTTTGAGATGGAGTCTCGCTCTGTCATGAGGCTGGAATGCAGTGGCATAATCTCAGCTCACTGCAACCTCTGCCTCCCAGGTTCAAGTGATTCTCCTGCCTCAGCCTCCTGAGTAGCTGGGACTACAGGCACGCGCCACCACGCCTGGCTAATTTTTGTATTTTTATTGGAAACGGGGTTTCGCCATGGTCACCAGGCTGGTCTTGAACTCGTGACCTCAAGTGATCCACCCATCTCAGCCTCCCGAAGTGCTGGGATTACAGGCATGAGCCTGGCTTATAATAAGTGCTGTAATCCCAGCACTTATTATCCCGAAGTGCTGGGATTACAGGCATAAGCCATGCCTGGCTTAAGATGAATTCATTTTAAGTTAATACAGCCAGCCATGCATGTCTGTGGCTTCTGCATCTGTTGACTCAACCAACGGCTGATCAAAAATATTCAGGAAAAAAAAAGTCACAATGTTCCAAAAAAGCAAAACCTGAATCTGCCACTGAGGTCACACGTTGAGGTCACACAGCCGAGCTCCACGCTGAATCCACGGGAATGAAGGGGTGTGTGGGTGTTGTCTTTGGTGTTATGAGTAATCCAGCGATGACTTACAGTGCAGTCAACCCTTGAATGACAGGGGTTGTAACTGTGTGTGTCCTCTTATGCATGGAGTTTTTTCCACGAAAGTTGCACCAAGTGTGCCTGCCTCTCCCGACTCCCCTTCCACCTCCTCCATCTCTTCCACCTCTGCCACCTTTGAAACCAACCCCTCCTCCTCCTTCTCCTCCTCCTCAGCCTACTCAACAAGAAGACAACCAGGATGAAGACGTTTGGGATGACCCACTTCCACTTTATACATAGTCAATATATTTTCTCTTCCTTATGATTTTCATAATAACATTTTCTTTCCTCTAGCTTACTTTATTATAAGAATACAGTCTATGATACATATAACAGACAAAATATGTGTTAACCAACTGTTTATGTTGTTAGTAAGGTTTCCAGCCAACAGGAGGCTATTAGTAGTTAAGTTTGGGGGAAATCAAAAGTTATACTTGGATTTTCACCTGCATGAGGGGCTGGCACTCTTGGCCCCCATGTTGTTCAAGGGCCAACTGTACACAGGACGGTGTGCACAGTTTTTATGCAAATACTGTCTAGGTATTCCAGGAGGTCCTGGAACCAATCCCCAACAGATGCCAAGGGATGATGGTATTCAATGAGTGTTGGCAAACGTATACACCCATGGAACCATGACCGCGATCAAGCCAGAAAATGTTCCCATCACCCAAAGAGTTTCATGCCCCTTTCCAGTCAACCCTACTCTTTTTTGTTTGTTTTGTTTTTTAAGATGGAGTCTCGCTCTGTCGCTCAGGCTGGAGTGCAGTGGCATCATCTTGGCTCACTGCAACCTCCACCTCTTGGGTTCAAGTGATTCTCCTGGCTCAGCCTCCTGAGTAGCTGGGACTAGAGGTGCCCACGACCACACCTGGCTACTTTTTTGTGTATTTTTAGTAGAGATGGGGTTTTGCCATGTTGGCCAGGCTGGTCTCAAACTCCTGACCTCAGGTGATCTGCCCACCTTGGCCTCCCAAAGTGCTGGGATTACAGGCCTGAGCCACCATGCCTGGCCCCACTCTTATTCCTGACCCAGGCAACTATGGGTCTGAGTCTTGTCACTGTACATTAGTTTGGTCTATTATGGAACTTCAGACAAATGGAGTCATAAAATATTAACTCTTCTGTGTCTGGCCTTTTTCACACATCATGTTTTTGAGATTTACCCATGTTGTGGTGTGTTTTCACTGTTTCTTGTTATTGCTGGATAGTATTCCATCATATGGCTATACCACAATGTATTTATTCCATACACCTCTTGAGGAATACCTGAGCCTTTCCCAGTCTTTTACAGTTACGAATAATGCTGCCAGGAACATTTTTGTGCGAGTCTTTTTGTAAGCACACGTTTTCATTTCTTTTGAGTAAATGTCTAGGAGTAGAATTGCTGAGTCCTATGCTAAGCATGTGTTTAATTTCATAAGAAACTTTCAAGCAGCCTTCCAAAGTGATTGTACCACATTATGTCTTGTCTGCACTGTCTGAGAGCTCCGGCTGTGCCACATTCTTGCCAACACTTAGTATGGTCAGTTAAGTATTTTCAATATTCAGTTTTAATACTTCTATTTGCTTTTTATCTAGATATCATTATATTTTTAGTAGTTTCTCTGAAAGTTATAGTATGCATCCTTATCAGTCTATCTTGAATTAATATTATATCACATCACGTAAAATGTAAGAACCTGGCCGGGTGCAGTGTCTCACACCTGTAATCTCAGCACTTTGGGAGGCCAAGGCATGTGGATCACTTGAGTTCAGGAGTTCGAGACCAGCCTGGCCAACATGGTGAAACCCCATCTCTACTAAAAATATAAAAATTAGCCAGGCGTGGTGGCACAGATCTGTACTCCCAGCTACTTGGGAGGCTGAGGCAGGAGAATTGCTGGAACCCAGGAGGTGGAGGTTGCAGTGAGCCAAGATCGCACCACTGCACTCCAGCCTGGGTGACAGAGTAAGTGAGACTGTCTCAAAAAAAAAAAAATTATATATGTATATATATATGTATATATATATGTGTATATATATATGTATATATGTATATATATGTGTATATATGTATATATGTATATATGTGTATATATGTATATATGTATATATGTGTATATGTGTATATATGTATATATGTGTATATATGTATATATGTATATATATGTGTATATATATGTATATATATGAACCTTTGAACAGTCTAATTTCATTTTTTCTCCATTGTTGGTGCTATTTGGTGTGATGTTTTTAATTACTCCATGTGTTATAAACTTCCACAATTAATTTTTTGCTTTAAACAGTCCCTTAAAGAAAGTTTTTAAAAAAGAACATTTTACTTGTACTTACCCTCATATTTGTTATTTCTAGTGCTCCTCATTCCTTCCTGTAGACCTAAATTTTAGTGTTGACTGACAGGCTTTTTTTTTTTTCTTTCAACACTATAAAGATGTCTTTCTGGCATCTTCTGGCCACCTTTGTTTCTATGAGAAGTTGGTTGTAATTCTTATGTGACTTTTTTGACCCATAGGTTGTTTGGAATGCATTGTGCTTCTTGATTTTTAAATATTTGAGGTTTTTCTTAATATCTTATCATTACTGCTTTTAACTAATTTGTATTTTAGTGAGAGAACATATGTTGATTATTTCAATCCTTAGAAGTTTATTGAGACTTGTTTTATAGCCCAGCACTGTTCCATTTCGGTGAGCAATCCATGTGGTCTTTTGAAGAATGGTGTATTCTACAGTCATTGACTAGGGTTCCATAAATGTCAATTAGCTCAAGTTGGTTGATAGTGGTTTCAGAACTTCTAACAGCCTTCCTGAGTGTTTATTTGCTTTATCAATGATCAAGAAAATGATGTTAAAATCTGTGCCTGTTTCACCCTTAAGTTTTGTCTATTTTTGCTTTGTATACTTTGAAGCTTTGTTATTAGATGTATACACAGTAATATTGTGCTTTCTCAATGAATTGTCATTTCTATAATTATAAAATGTCCTTTTATCTCGGTAATATTCCTTGTCTTGACATCTACTTTGTCTGATATTGATGTAACCACTCTAGCTTTATTATCATTACTGCTTGCATGACATACATTTTTCCATCCTTTCACTTTTAACCTTATCTGTGTCTATAGTCACAACATGTCTCTTGTAAGCAGCATATCTTTGGGTCTTGCTCATTGATTCAGTCTAAAAGTCTGTCTTTTAATTGGAGTGTATAGTCCACTTACATTAATTTAAATTTTGATATGACTGCATTTATAGCTACCATTTTATCATTTATTCCCTCTGTGTGCTATGTCTTTTTCTTCCTGGATGCTTTAAAGATTTTCTTTTACCTTTTCTTTTCAGTAGTTTGACTATTACATGCGTAAGTGTAGTTTTCTTCATATTTATTGCACTGAAGATTTGCTTCTTGGAATTCAGAGTTGATGTTTTTAGTCAAATTTTAAAACATTTGGCTATTTTTTCTTTAATATTTTTTACCCCCTTTTCTCTTTCTTCTCCTTCCTCAGACAACTTAATATCATCCCACCAGTCACTGAGACTTTTTCAAAAAACTGTTTTGTCTGTTCTTCAGTGTGGATTGTTTCTATCAACCTCTCTTCAAGTTTCTTGATCTTTTCCTCTGTAGTTTCCCAGCTTCTGTTAAACCAATTCAATGACTATTTCATTTCAGATATTTGGTTGTGTTGTTTGTTTTCAGTTTCAAGATTTTCATTTGGTTCTGTTTTAGAGTTTCCATCTCTCTCCTGACATTCCCCACCTCTTTTCCATTATATTCATTTTCCAATGTATGTTATGTCACATTTTTATAATGGTTAATTTAAAATACTTATCTCCTAATTTCAACATATGGGCCTCTGTGGATATGCTTCTGATGGTTGGTTTGTTCCTTTGATTGTGGGCTATATTGTCCTCTGTGGTAATTTTTATTGTACACTGTGCATTGTGTATGATACACTGTGGAGACTTTAGATTCTGTGATCTTCCGAAGGAGAATGCTAAGTTTTGTTTAGCAGGTGGTTAAATTTTTGGTGGATCAACTTGATCCTGAGGAGGATTCTTCTCAGGCTTTATTATCTGGGTCTCTTTCAGTTTAGCCCTTGTTCCTGGGGCACAGCATTTAGTCCTAGCAGATGGTCCTTGCTCCTAACATACAGTTCTTACAGAGTCGTAATGGGAAGCAAGGTGTTTCTCCAGGAGGTCTAGCTGGGCCAACTCGAACTCCAAACTCTGTGACCCCATGCCCCTATCTTTCAGCCTTCCAGCTGTTTCCTTTCACTCAGATGTTTAAGGTCTCATCCTATATGTGACTTTTAACTCAGTCAAAAATTTGTGGATCTATTCTTCCTGTAACATCCTTCCTAATTTCCAGCCTCTGGAGACCTTAAGCTTGGACCTCAGTCTTCTCAGCCCAGCTCAGGAGCTGTAGTCAGCTGGCACCCTCTCCCTCACATTCCTGTAAACAGGGAAGCTCCCTCCAGTGGAAAGTCAGCTGAATGGGGATCGTACCTCACTTATTTCCCTTTTCCAGGCTTGCATCCCCTCTGATGCTGCCTGCCTCTGATTTCTCACCAGTGGTTTTTTGTTGTTTTGGGTTGTGTGTGTGTGTGTGTGTGTGTGTATGTATGTGTGACTGAGGCTCACTCTGTTGTCCAGATTGGAGTGCAGTGGTGCGATCTCAGCTCACTGCAACCTCTGCCTCCTGGGTTCATGTGACTCTGGTGCCTCAGCCTCCCTAGTAGCTGGGACTACAGGTGTGCGCCACCACACCCAGCTAATTTTTGTATTTTTAGTACAGATGGGGTTTCACCATGTTGGCCAGGCTGGTCTCGAACTCCTGACCTCAGGTGATCCACCTGCCTCAGCCTCCCAAAGTGCTGGGATTACATGAATGAGCCACCATGCCCAGCCACTCACCAGTCTTCAAAACAGGTGTCATTTCTATTTCATCTTGAGTTTATGATTATGAAGGGCAAGCATGTTATTCTGATATGAGCTAGTCCCCAAACACTGAAGGAGCCTTTCACACCAGTTTAATCTCTCTGTTCTTTCCCTCCTATTCTCAAAGAACTTTAATTGTCTTCCACATTACTTACTCAATTTTACATGGTGTTTTTTGTTACTTGCCGTTTTACTGTTTTGAGTACAGATATTAACTCTCCCATCGTGGTTTCTTTACATTATCTAGTTCCCCCTCATCTCTGCCTCAGGCTGATTCTCTCCTCTCAGTCTGTTACCTTTTTTATTCGTCTTTCACTTTTTGTTTCATTGAGTCGTTTTTTTAAATTCATAAATAATAAAAGCATATATTTTCTAAATATACTTGTTTCTAATGTATTTTTTAAATAAAACTATGTGTTCTCTCTGCCTTTCAGGAGAAACTTTTTAAAAAAATAATAATAATAATATCTAATGAAGGCCAGGCATGGTGGCTCATGCCTGTAATCCCAGCACTTTGGGAGGCCAAGGTGGGCAGATCCCTTAAGGCCAGGAGTTTGAGACCAGCCTCGGCAACATAGCAAAATCCTATCTCTATAAGAAAATACAAAAAATAGCCAGGTGTGGTGGCAGGCGCCTGTAGTCCCAGCTACTCAGGAGGCTGAGGCAGGCGAATGGCGTGAACTCGGGAGGTAGAGCTTGCAGTGAGCTGAGATCAAGCCACTGCACTCCAGCCTGGGCAACAGAGCGAGACTCCATCTCAAAATAATAATAATAATACCTAATGAATCTTTTGCTAGGCCCCTCTTCCGCGGGTTTTCTACTGTGGGTGTTCTTTCCAGGCCTCTGGAACTCTCCAGTCAGGGGCGTGGGCTCTCCCATCCCCGGGTCCCAGGTTGGATGGTATATACAGTCAGGTACTTAAAAGTCTGTCTGTAACTTCAAATAGCAAATGTTGAGTCCAGGCTTTCACGGCATGTTCACATGGTATATCCAGTCAGGTACTTAAAAGTCTGTCTGTAACTTCAAATAGCAAATGTTGAGTCCAGGCTTTCACGGCATGTTCACTGCAGACTGGCTGGGCCTCTTCCCCTCCTGATAATGCAGGCAGCATCAGAAGCATTCCCAGGTGGACAGAGGGGATGAAAGGGAACACTATTCTGAAGTCAGTCAAGGGGATTGTTAAAGATGGTAACTTTTTCACATCTTTATTCCCCAAACAGCTGAATTAATCCTGAATAAATGGAGAGCTGAGTGTATGGGTGGGAAGGTGAGGACACCAGGGAGGCTCTGGCCCTCACAGGGTTTGCATCTGAAGGGGCAGGGGCTGGGGCTGGGCTGGGAACTGATGGAGTAAGATGTGAATAACAGTGCCAGGGGCCCAACGTTCAGAGCTGGCAGGAGAGCGGGAAGGTGGGTCTGGCCTGGGCTGCTGAGAATTTCCATCAGGTCTGGGCACAGCTGGGGAACACAGGGTGGTCCCGGTGCAGGGCAGGCGTCA
Organism: Homo sapiens; assembly: GCF_000001405.40. Taxonomy (NCBI): domain Eukaryota; kingdom Metazoa; phylum Chordata; class Mammalia; order Primates; family Hominidae; genus Homo; species Homo sapiens. The sequence goes on along the minus strand of NT_187681.1, from coordinate 200,038 downwards.
GTGAGGACATGAAGGCTGGTGAGCAGCCGCCAGGGGGCTGGGGCGCAGTGAGAAGCAAGAGGAAAGGGCAGGTGCGGCTGTGGATCCCTGGGGACTGCAGCAGGGGTCTGAGCTGTGCATGGTGACACCAGACACCACGAAGGGACCAGGAGGCCCACACACCTGGAGAGAGCCGCCACGCAGCTGGGGACCATAGCGTCACCTGCACCTCCTGGCTCTGCCTCTTGTCTTGGGCATGGCTCACTCAAGCCCCACAGGTGAGTCCCCACCGCTGCCCCCTTACTGGGGGATCCCTGAGGCCAGTGAGGGTCACGAGGACAGGCTGGTGCATGGCTGGACCTGGGAGGTGGGTTCCTAGAGCCCTCAGGAGGCAGGGTCAGGTCCAGCTGGCTTCCTGGAGGTGGTGGCCAGCAGAAAGGAAGGAGAGAGACCAGGGAGAAACCCCGGCTGGGGCCCAGGGTCCCTAAGGACAGCATCCCGCGCCCCCTCCCACTCCCGCGGGCCTCGTCGCTCGCCCACCCTGGCCTGGCCCCGCAGTCTCAGGACGCCTGGTACCTGCTTGTTTGCTCAGGGCGCCCCCTCCCCTGCCTGCCTCGTGGGGCAGGGCTGTCTAGACAGCGGGGGCTCCTTGGCCCACCGGCTTTGTCCCCAGAGTTCCCCGAGCAGAAGAGGCGGCCACAGACAAAAGGGTGTTTGCCTTTCCCCCACAGCCAGGCAGCTCCCCTGTCTCCATGGCTCCAGGCCAGCCTGTGACCCCAGGCCCCCACCCAGAGGGACACACCCAGGAGCTGGGCCTGTGGCTCCCTGAGGGGTGGGGTGAGGACCGACACCAGGACTTGCTTCCCACAGGGGCTTCCTGGGGGTGCCTCCAGCCGAGTCTGGGGCACAGGGCAGGGCTCTGATGAGTGGAGGTTAGGAGGGCGCCGTGAGGGCTGGCAGGAGCTCAGGCAGGGGGAGTGAGGAGGTGGGAGGTGGGCAGAGTGGGGTGTGGCTTCCAGCAGGGGCCCCCTGACCTGGCAGGTGTCGGGCAGAAAGCCAGGCCAGCTGTGGCGGATGCAGGTGGGCTCTGGGGTGGGGCAGATGAGGAGGGCCCGGGTAGCTGTGGGTCTGTGCCCACCTGGCCTGGCCCCCAGGCACCTCCTCTGCTTGGCCCCCAGGTTCTCCCAGCACCCTGGGCTTCTTCAAGTCCCCCTGGCCTCTCTCCCTCTCATCTCAGGTGGCTTCCCAGGCAGCCCTGCCCCTAAAACCAGCACCTAGAGCGTCCCTGCCTGTGCCAGCACCCTCTCCCCACCCGGCTCTGCCAGCCTGATTCCCTCACGTCTGAGTTTCCTCCACCCGATTTCCTGGCATATTTTATGTCACGGTCCTGCACGGTTGTCAGGTGCCCAGGCCTGTCTTGGGATGGAGGGGGCTCTGACAGTGAGCGAGACAGCAAATGTCCCAAGACTCAGTTTCTCCGTTTCTGAGCAGGGCTTCCCCCTGCCAAGGACTCGGCCGAATGGCACGTGGGGACACTCCCGGTGCCCTGGCCCAGTGGCAACCCTCCCCCGGCCCCTTCATCTGTGTCCCACATGCTGGGGCGCTCACGGATTTTGTGAATGAACAAGGAACAAGGGAGGCAGCGCCTTTGAAACCCAGGGTAGGAGCACAAAGCCACCAAGACCCGGCTCTCCTGCACACCCTTGCCCCGAGCCCGCCACGGGCAGCCAGATAGCAGGCAGCTGGAGCGAACCCCTGATCCAGGCCCCTGGCCCTGCGCCGGCTGAGGGGTGAGAGCTGGGCAGAGCGTATCTGACCTGGGAACACCCACCTCACCTAAGCCTGCCCAGCTCCACCTGAGACAACATCCGGGCCCTGATAAAGCCAGTTGTGCACCCTGGGGGCATGCACCATGCTAATCCGCTTATCTGCTGGGTTGGTCTCAGCTGTGCCCAAAAGGAGTCCACACTGGGCGGAGATCAGGGGACAGGCCCAGGGTGGGAGGCTGGCTCTGCGTCCCAGCCCGCTGTGCAGCTGGGCCCCGCAGCCTTCCCCACCTTCCCCTGTGTTGGGTCTCAGGTTTCGATGGCCTTTCCCTGCACCCCACCCTGCAGAGGTCATCTCAAAGCCATGTCCAGCTGCAGGACAGCTGCACCAGTAGATGGCCTCCCCTGCAGGGCAACAGCCATGCCCCAGGCTCAGGGGCATCCTGTGGCAGGCATGGGGCCCTGCAGCAGCTGGACGGGGTCGGCGGATCCCAGGAAGCCTGCTCCCCTGCCTGGCTTATGACCCGGGCTCAGCTCACCGGCCGCTCCACCCCGGGTGGTGCTCTCGGCCAGACAGCAGGGCAGCAGGTCTGAGGCCTGCTCTGTGGGGGGATGGGCTGGGTGCCTCTGGGCCTCAGACTCCCCAGCCACACATTGAGAGTGTTGGGGCAGGTGCAGCCCCCAGTCCAGGCTCGAGGCCGGCGTGAGCACTGGGCACCTGCTGGAAGCTGAGGTAGAGACAGTGGGTAGGAGGAGAAGGCCACCTCCGTGACCAACCATAGGCCTGCGTGGTGGGCACTGGGGGCGTCGCCCAGGCCCCACCAGGACCGAGGCCTTCGTCCCAAGCCACCCGAGTGTTGGCTGCCGAGGGCTCGGCCCTCCTTCCCTGGGAACTGCCCTCCCCAGAAAGCCACCTCGCCCAAGGCCACAGCGAGCCTGCGTGCAACGCCTGCCACATCGGGGGACAGAACCCAGCCTGGGATGTCTCCCAAGGCCTCCCGGCTCCAGAGCTCCAGGGTGGCTCCCTCGGCAGCTCAGCCTGTCCCACGCTCCCTCCATGCTCCCCTCACCCCCAGCTGGTGTCCTGAGAGCCCCGCTGACCCCTGCCCACATATCTGGGGCAGTCTGCCTCTGGGCCCCCAGCCTCAGACGGCCTGTGTGGCTGGACAGTGGGGTGCGTGTGGGGCTGCAGCGGGGGACACGGGAGGCACATGGAGGTCGGGACCCCCAGGCCTCGGCCCCCCTCTGGAGCCCTCAGGGCCTGGACAGGGGCAGGCAGGCTAGAGGGGCACCCACCTCAGGAGCCTCCTCCAACGGAGGTGGGAACAGATTGGGGGTCGAGAGGGGAGGCCGGGGCTGGGTGAGGGTGATAAGACCTGGGCCGGGGGGCAGGAGGCTGGGGAAGAGCGGCCTTAGGGGGGCCCAGCCTCCTCCTCCACTCGGGGACTGTCCTGGCTGAGGTCACAGCATCAGCCACGTCCATCCCCATCCCTGCCTTTCTGCTCCCCCAGCCCTGCCTCCTACCTGGGTCCCCCCAGCGACCCGGCCCCAGGGCAGTGCGTTGGCCAATAACGTCTCTCGTTGGCTCCAGAGCTCACAGGTTCACTGTGAATGTCAGGAACCCGGGTGTGTCCTAGAGTCAGGACAGACAGCGTCAGACCTGGGCTCAGTTGGCTGCGTGCTTTTCGTGGGTGTGTGTGTGTGTGTGTGTGTGTGTGTGTGTGTGTGTGTGCTACACAGCAGTTTTACCTGTACACACAGGCTTCAAGGAAAGGCTAGTAGTCATGATCAACTGACTCTTACGCATCTTCTTCACAACGGTGGCTGTTTCTGAGCTGCAGCTGTGCTGGGGTCTCTACAGACAGCGTTTTGCCACAGGCCTTCTGTAGCATGTGATACTGTCCCCATTTAACTCGAGAGCAGACTGAGATGCAGAGCTCAGGAGACCTCAGGTCACAGGCGGGGGGACAAGCCCTAGAGGGTCCACAGAACCAGAGCCTCCCAAAAGCCCAGATTGACCCAGCTGCCACCAGCCCTGCCAAAGTCCGTCCCCGGCCGCAGGGCTGCTGTGAAGTGGGGCAGGGGTGCCTGCTGAGAGCCCTGTCCACCCCGTAGTCCTTCCTCCTCTCACCCCTTCCTCCTTTCAGTATTTCAGCTGACGGGTGGCTCTGGGCTTGAAGCAGATCCAAAAGCTTGAGCTCTGCCCCCCAAACAAAAGGGACCCCACCCTCGTGGCATGGCTGTTCCGTGGGGACAGTGAGCTGGCACACAGGACAATGTCGGCTCGTGAAAGTTCTAGATAGGATACAGAGCGGGTAGCGTGGGCTCAGGGAGGCAGGGGCAGGTGTCTGCTTCAGACGCCTCTGGGCAGTGACCCAGAGCTCAGGGGCGGCACCAGGGCACTGGAAAGGCCCCCCACAGGCCTCCCAGAAAAGCCAACAAGAGGGCAGGGTGGGGGCTGGGCGCTGCTTTGCAAGAGGCAAGGCTAAGGTGGTCCCACCATGCACAGAGCCTGCCCGGGCCACCAGGAGCCCTGACTTTGTGCACTGGGGCTGCCCAAGATGCCTGGCCATAAGCAGCGTCCTCCCCGGGTGGTGGGAAAGGCCCGGTTTGGGGACCGCGCTGGAGGGCCACCGGGACAGTCGCCCACCTGCCCCATCTCCAGCCCAGTGCCCTCACCCAGCGTGGGGTGCAGCCAAGGAGCCTTACGCACACAGACCAGGGTGCAGCTCCAAACTCCTGGGGTCAGGCGTTGTTGCTCTGCCTCTCCCCAAAGTGGAGACTGCCGGTCCCCAGCACCCGGCGCACTGCCCGTGGGGATTTACTCTGCGGATGTGGGAGTAAACGGCACATTCTCTGTTTACCAAGCCAGCTGTGCTAGGCATCCGTCTGCCTTCATGTTGTCCGAGCACAAACCCCCTCACGGAGGAGGCCGAGTGTTCCAGCGCAGGCCAGGGCTCCCTCCCAGAGCGGGTGAGGCGGAAGGCCCAGCCATGGCCATGCCAGAAGACGGACCTGGTAGGGGTGGGCCCTCCGTGGGACATGGTCCACGCTAGCTGCACCACACACAGACGTCGTTTTCAGGGTGCGGGGGGGTGGGGGCAGTGCAGAGGCCCCAGAGCATCCCACGCCCCCATGAGGGCTTCCTCCGTCGAGTCAGATGGCTCCTCACGGTGTCCAGCTCAGTAGTCCGCAGGCTGACCAGCTGGGAGGGACTGATGTCTCCCCACCACCAGGGCATCTGGAGACGTTGCGTGTCAGCATCAGGGGTTAGGACCACGACTTCCCAAGCAGCTCCTGTCTGTGCATGGGCCTCGCACAGGCCCTGGCTGGCCCAGGGGTCCGAGCTCTCCAGCACGGGTGGACCTCCCTCCCATCCTGCCTGGCTGCTGGACTGCCCGTCCATCTGTCCCAGGGGACCATTTAGGCTGAGCTGTGAGTCCCATCAGGCCTCTGGGACTATAGGAGGATTAGGGTGGCCCCCAAAAGATAAGCCCAAACCCTGAACCCTGGGACCTGGGAGGGCTGCCTTGCTGGCAGAAGGTATAATGTGGATCTCAGATGAAATCTTCTTGGACGATCTGGGTGGTGTCGTCCACCATCCATGTGTGTCCCCATAGGGAAAGGCCGGGTATGTGTGTCAGAGGTACTCCAAGCCTCCAGTGGGAATCAACACTTCTGCCTCCCAGAACTGGGACTTCTGCCCTCCTGAACGGTGAGAGGATACATTTCCCATGTTTTCAAGCCACCTGTTGTGGGCATTCATTATGGCGGCCCCGGTAGACACACAGCAGCCAATGAACTGAATACTAGGGCTCAGGGGCCCACAGGAGCCAACATGGGGAATGAGCCCTCTCCCGGGCACAGGCACTGAAGCCACAGGCACCGAAGGCACAGCCCCTGCACCCCAAGGGGGAGTGGACAAATACACCCTGCACGGGAGCACTGCCCAGCAATGAAATCAAGCAGTGGCCACCAGGACTCAGTCCGCCGCGACTCAGCCCACGTCCACTGCCACCCGTCACTGCAGATGACTGGTGGGTCTGCACCGGAGGGTCCAACATCACAGGGGCTGGACAGGCTGGGCAGGGCTGAGCCAGGAGCCTCTCTGCCTCAGTTTCCATGGCTGGCAGCAGGGCTCACACCACAGGCCACTGTGGGAGACTGTTGTTTGTTTGTTCATTCATTGAGTCATCTTCATTCATTCATGCATCCGCTCATTCCCATCCACTCATTCCCATCCACTCATTCCCATCCATCTACATTCCCATCCGCTCATTCCCATCCATCTACATTCCCATCCACTCATTCCCATCCACTCATTCCCATCCATCTACATTCCCATCCACTCATTCCCATCTATTCATTCCCAATCATCTACATTCCCATCCACTCATTCCCATCTATTCATTCCCAATCATCTACATTCCCATCCACTCATTCCCATCCACTCATTCCCATCTATTCATTCCCATCCATCTACATTCCCATCTGCTCATTCCCATCCACTCATTCCCAACCATCTACATTCCCATCCACTCATTCCCATCTATTCATTCCCATCCATCTACATTCCCATCCACACATTCCCATCCACTCATTCCCATCCACCTACATTCCCATCCGCTCATTCCCATCCATCTACATTCCCATCCACTCATTCCCATCCATCTACATTCCCATCCACTCATTCCCATCCATCTACATTCCCATCCACTCATTCCCATCCGCTCATTCCCATCCATCTACATTTCCACCCACTCATTCCCATCCATCTACATTCCCATCCCTCTACATTCCCATCCACTCATTCCCATCCACTCATTCCCATCCATCTACATTCCCATCCATCTACATTCCCATCCACTCATTCCCATCTATTCATTCCCAACCATCTACATTCCCATCCACTCATTCCCATCCACTCATTCCCATCCATCTACATTCCCATCCACTCATTCCCAACCATCTACATTCCCATCCACTCATTCCCATCCACTCATTCCCATCCGTCTACATTCCTATCCATCTACATTCCCATCCGCTCATTCCCATCCATCTATATTCCCATCCACTCATTCCCATCCATCTACATTCCCATCCACTCATTCCTATCCATCTATATTCCCATCCACTCATTCCCATCCATCTACATTTCCATCCACTCATTCCCATTCACTCATTCCCATCCATCTACATTCCCATTCACTTGTTCCCATCCACTCGTTCCCATCCATCTACATTCCCATTCACTCGTTCCCATCCACTCATTCCCATCCATCTACATTCCCATTCACTCGTTTCCATCCACTCGTTCCCATCCACTCATTCCCATCAACTCATTCCCATCCACTCGTTCCCATCCATCTACATTCCCATCCATCTACATTCCCATCCACTCATTCCCATCCATGCATTCCTGTTCACTCATTCATGTGCTCATTCCCATCCATCTACATTCACATCCCCTCATCCTTATTCACTTATCCCCATCCATTCAGTCCCATCCACTCATTCCCATCCACTCATTCCTGTTCACTCACTCATCCACTCATTCCCATCCATTCATTCCCATCCATCTACATTCACATATTTCTCTTCATTCATTCATACATGTTCAACTGTATTATTGATATTCATATTCACTTACTCATTCACTCATATTTATTCATTCCACAACATGTATGGGGCCTTCATGGGGCTGGAACAGGTCTTGCCCTCAGGGAGCTCACTGAGAGCTGGGGGAGATGTTCATAGACAACCCCACGGCAGTATTCAGGGGTGGGGTTGAGTTCAGCACCAGGGGCAGTGGAGGGCCCTGGTCCAGGTGAGCCCTGCCTGGGAGTAAATCCCATGCCCCCACCAAGTCTCAGAAGGCTTGAGCCCATGCTCCAGGGTTGCCTATGAGCAGAGGGCAGGACTCACACCCCTCTGTCCTCAGGCAGGTGCATCCTCTGGCCCTGGGGCAGGTCAGTCATCTCTCCCTGGGGCAGGTGGGTCCTCTATTCCTGGTGCAGATGTTGAGAAGCTAAGTCTTGGGCAGAACCAGATGTGAGCAGCCTGAATTCAGACCCCACATGAACAATAGCCACGGGCTATCTCCTGAACCACCCCTGCTCTCTTTCCACACCCCAAGGAACCACCTCCTGGGCTGTTTAAGTCAGAACTCTTGGAGTACCTGTCCCATCCTGACGTCCCTCCCTCTGGCCAGACAAGGGACCCCAGATTGTAGGACATGTCTGGTCTCTGAGGAGGAGGCTGAAGCTGACAGCACCTGCACTAGGTGGACAGAACAGGTCTGAGAAGGCCCAAAGGACAGAGAGGCATGTTATGGTGTGAATATATTCCTCAAAGTTCATACATTGGAAATCTGATTGCCATTTTAACAGTATGAAAAGGTGCAGCGTTAAAGAGGTGAACAGCATGTCATGCTGGGGTTCCACGGAGCTCTGTCCCCGCATGTCCTAAAGGGGGACTGAGGCTGGATTTTACTGCAGGTGATGCTGGACACAGCAAGGACAGGACCAAAGCCTCTGTGGCCTGAATGTTATGGAGGGATTGAGAAAAAGGACAGTCTAAAAAATTGTCCCACATGCCTTCAGCCAGCATTGCATCCCATATGATGTACTAATGGAAGGAGAGACAGAGAGAGGAGGCAGAGGGAGGGAGAGAGACAGAGAGAGGAGGCAGAAGGAGGGAAAGAGACAGAGACAAGAGGCAGAGGGAGAGAGAGACAGAGAGAGGAGGAAGAGAGAGAGAGAGAGGAGGCAGAGGGAGTGAGAGAAACAGAGGAGGCAGAGGGAGGGAGAGAGAAAAAGGAGGGAAGGAAGGAAAGACGGAGGGAGGAAGGAAGGGGGAGGGGGAAGGAAGAAGGAGGGAGAGAGAGAGGGAAGAGGGAGGAAGGAGGGAATCAGGAGGAAGGAGGGAAGAGGGAGGGTACAAGGGAGAGAAAAAGAAAAAAGAGATAGAAGGGAAAAGAGAAAGAAAGCAAGAGAAGGAAAGAGGGAGGGAGAGAAATGATGGAGAGAGATAGAGAGAGAGGAAGGAAAGAGAGGGAGGGTGGGTCCACGGCTGACGCAGGGCTCACAGCCCAGGCCGCCATCCACCACAGAAGAGGTGGCCTCACGGTGGCCAGGGGGAGAGGGCTGGGCACATGGTGCTGGGCCACAGCGGACCCCCATCCAGCTGCCTGTGGGGGGGGACCCTTCATTCCTTCTTTCTCCAAATGTTCATTGAGCCTGACTGTGTGCCAGGCCCCCCATCCCCTCCAAGAGCGCTCACTGGGTGGTGTGGGCAGACCCTGCTGGCCTGCCTGGAGCCCGCTGACCAACCCAGGGGCTGTCCAGGGGTGGCCAGGCAGGCGCTGCTTGGTGGAGAGGCCCTGGCGGGTGAGAAGGTCCCAGCCATGCAGCCGTGGTTGGCATGCAGCCTGTGGAGCTGTGGACAGCTGCTTCCCCTGGCTGACCCCGGCATTGCGTGCCTGCCCTCGGGGGCTAATCCAGGATCTCTCCCAGCTCCAGGTGCAGGCACTTCCAGGTTCCCTGGGGCGGTCAGGACCACAGCCTGGCAGGGTTCTCGGGCCTGGGAACCGCTTGGCACAGGTGCCAGCAATGGGCACATTTATTCAAAGAAAAGGAAAAGATATTCTCTCGTCTCCCTGGGAAAACAGACACGGCTCATCTGGACTGGAGCATGGGAACACGCCCCAGGGAGGAGAGGCCAGCCCCTCGGGGGAGAGAGGGAAACATTGACTCAACCAAGGCCACATCCCAGGCCCTCCTCGGGTTGACCAGACGTCTCTGCAGCCGAGGCTGCTGCCTGGGCCAAGAGGGAGGTAGAGGAGGCTGGGGCAGCTGGGGCGGCTCTAACCGACTCTCAAAGACAACACACAGGCTGCCCTGCAGCCTCGGCTCTTGTCCTGCCTGCAGGTCACCCCTGAGCAGCCGCCACCAGCCTGGGCGGGTGGGGGCTCCCAGGGCAGCAGGGGACACTCCTGACCCACAACCTTCCATGCCAGGCTGCCAGGGTGCCGCGCTGAGTGGGACTCGTAGGTCACTTCTGGGCCCACACAGGAGTGGGGCACCACGACCACCCAGTGATGCTGGCAAGGCCCAGGAGGACGGGGTGGGGATGGGGCCGTCCTCAAGCCAGGCCTAAGACCCTCCGGTGCTGGCAGCCCCAGGGGAGGTCACAGTGTGAACGCCTTCTTCCTTGTCCCTCCAACCCTGGGGTACACGAGGACCTGGCCTGGGAGTGGAGGACACGGGTGCAAGGCACGGATGTGAACAGCTCTCCGGGACCCCGGGGTGCACCAGGACCCGGCCTGGGTGTGGAGGACACGGGTGCAAGGCACGGATGTGAATGGCTCTCCGGGACTCAAGCAGGCAGTGACAGCACAGGCAGGGGCGCGGACTCCGTGACAGGGACCAGGGGGCTGCCATCCTCTGTGCACTGGCCCCTCCTGACAACATGGCTCATCCTCCTGGGGCCCCGCCCTCTTTGGCCTCTGTGGTTTGGAGATTCCACTGAGCCACAGACTCAGGATTTTTGGGCAGCCCTGAGGCACCCCCCGTCTGCACAGCGAGGTGAGGCCAAGCAGGCCACTAGTGCTGCCGGCCGTTGGGGCAGGAGGGGGGCGTGCAATGGGCAGTGGGCACTGGGCACTGGGTCCCATGCCGAGCCCGTGCCAGGGGCAGGAAAGTGGGCACTGGTTCATGGGCAGCCCCCAGGGCTCCCCGCCAGGTATCCGGGCACCGCAAAGGGGCACCCGCAGTTTACCACCCGCCGCAATCAGCACTCCTGGCAGGTGGCCAGCCACACGCCACCCTCCCACCGCCCCAGGGCTGCCCATCCCTGCAGGCCACCCCCTTCCAAGTCTCCCGGGCCCCTCCCATGTCGAGAGCCCATGGGGAGGGCAGTGCAGCCCTTGCTGGCCTCCACACCCTCAAGGACATGCTCTGTCCCCAGACGCCTGAGCAGGAGCAGGAGTGAGGGTGAGGCAGCGAGAGGCCAGGAGGGTCCAGGGCTCTACAGCGAGGTTAAAGGTTTGCGGGTGTGCCTAGCAGAAGGCTCTGGTCAGCCTGGTCTGTGAGGAATCCGGGCACTGCCTGGGCCCCTCCAAGAATGCCAGGAGCCATAGAAGGGTCAAGAAAGGGTCAGGGTCAAATTGCGGTGTCAGCGGTGGGGTCCGGGTCCAAACAGCCCCTGCCTCCAGCCAGACCAGCAGAAGCCAAGAGGGGCCTCCCAGGAGAACATGGCCCCTGCCGTCTGCACCCTCCTCACTTTTCCAAGAGCAGCAAGCACCACAGTGATGGGGGGGCTCTGAGGGGCCGGGACAGGGGTGGGAGTGGCAGAGCGTGGGTCCTCTGGACCTGGGGTCCTGCAGGATGTGGGCTCTGCAGGGTCAGGCGAGGGACACACGTTCTCCTCAGCACACGCAGGGCAGAGGGTCAGTGCCTCGGGGCTGGCAGTGGCCCCGAGATTGCAGGAGCCCGTTGCACTGGAAATGTGGTTTGCTGCTGAGAAAAACATTTCTGCTCTATTGAAAAATGCAGCATGGCCAGGTGCAGTGGCTCATGCCTGTAATCCTGGAGATTTGGGAGGCTGAGATGGGAGGGTGACTTGAGCCCAGCAGGTGGAGGCTTCAGGGGGCTGTGATCCACCACTGCACCCCATCCTGGGCAAGCCCTCTATCTCCCAGGGCTTCCTGATGCTCTGCCCCTGGCCATGCCCAGGCTGCAGCCCCAGGCCGGTGGAAACAGGCCCAGGGTCCCATCTGGGCACCAAAGGGTCCCTGTGGGGAGGGTTTGCAGTTGGTCCCTCGGACACCCCGGACCCTCTTCACACGCTGACTTGAAATCTGGCATAGATGCCGTAGATCGCAATTTCCTCGAGTTGGGGTCCTCAGCCTCTCCCTTCATGTAACCCACACGGCTGCCACACAACAAATTCAATCACAGCCGAGCCAGGCTCAGGGCGGGCACCTACCATTCCCACAGCCCCTGCAGAGCAGAACCCATGGGGCCCCCTGCAAACTGGAAAGGAGGCCCCTCCAAAGATGACGGAATCCAAGACAGGGACCCAGAGCTTAAACCAGCCCTGAGCACGGTGCAGCCTCAGCCCACTCCACCGCATAGTCTCAGCCCGGGCCGCCCCCGGCCTCCCCCACAGCCCAACCTCATGCTCTGTGATGGACTCAGCCCTGGCTGCCCCACGGTGCAGTCTCAGCCCCGGCCGCCCCCAGCACACAACCTCATGCTCTGTAATGGGCCCAGGAGATGCCCCAAGCTCACCTCCTCTTGAGGCCTCTCCACGGCCCAAGTTCTGTCCCCCACAGCCCTGCCCTCTGTGAGCCGCCATCCAGGGTGGCACAGACCCCACTCTGGGTCCAAGCAGAGATGCAACAGCCCCCAGAGTCCTGAGCCCCCAGACCCAGACAAGGCCAGGCCCCTGCCCTGTGGGACGCCGCCCCCTTCAGCCTCAAAAGGACACTGGGAGCGCAGAGGTGTCACCGCCTGGTTTGGAGAGAAAGAGCTAGAATTCCGGAGGAGGGAGGAGAGCAAGGGACCAGGGACAAGGGCGAGGAGGGGAGGGGGGTCCCGGGCTCCCCCAGCAACGGGTGCAGCCACACCGATGCTGAGTGTTTGCACACAGGGCTGGCCCAGCCACCTTATTTATTTATGAGATTTATGGGGTTTTAATTCAGCCCTACCTAATGACGCACACAGTGGCTGGTCAGCACCCAACATGGGGTACGGGGAGGGGTCCCGCCCTTCGGCTCCTGAGGGCTGGTCAGGAGCCACAGTGACCTGGGGACAGGAGTGGCCTCGGGTGCTCTAAGACCCGTACCTCTGGACTGGAATAAATGGCTAGAGCTCAGCATGGAGGGGTCTTTCTCGAGTGCCCGAGGGGGGCCCCTACTACCCAGCTCCCAGGCCCTCTGAAGCCCACCGGGCCCCACCGTATTCTCCACCTTCTGGGTCTCCAGATACTCTGTCCACTTTGGGGAGACCTTCCAGGGTCTCTGGCCCCCACGCCTCACCTTCCCTTGCCCTCCCAGTTCCCACCAGCCTCCCCACTCCCTCCTTCTCTCAGCCTCCGGAAGATCCTTCTAGAAACACTTCTTCTTGGAACCAACCCAAATGTCCAACAATGATAGACTGGATTAAGAAAACGTGGCACATATACACCATGGAATACTATGCAGCCATAAAAAAATGATGAGTTCATGTCCTTTGTAGGGACATGGATGAAGCTGGAAACCATCATTCTCAGCAAACTATCGCAAGGACGAAAAAACCAAACACCACATGTTCTCACTCATAGGTGGGAACTGAACAATGAGAACACATGGACACAGGAAGGGGAACATCACACACCAGGGCCTGTTGTGGGGTGGGGGAGGGGGGAGGGATAGCATTAGGAGAAATACCTAATACAAATGACGAGTTAATGGGTGCAGCACACCAACATGGCACATTATACATAGGTAACAAACCTGCACATTGTGCACATGTACCCTAAAACTTAAAGTATAATTTAAAAAAACAAAAGGAAACACTTCTTCCTTCTCATCCCTCCCCAGCCCTACCCAGCCCCAGCAGGCCTGCCTTGCCCTCCCACGAGGACCCCAACTCTTCTCCACCAGCCCCAGCCCCCAACAAGATTTCCCAAAAGTGCCTGTTGAGGTCCAACCCCATGCTCAGCCTCTCCAGGCTTCCCTGGGAGCCCCTGACTCCTGCTGCCCAAATCCTGCCCTGTCAGCACCACCTGCCCCAGAGGCGGGACCAGAGACCATCACAGCCACCTCCGCACAGCCCCTCTCACGCTCAGTCACCCCAAGGCCCCTCCCCATGCAGGTGGGTGGTGGGTGGGCGAGGGCCCCAGCTCTGGCCGTGCCCTCAGCCCTGGGCTGCCAGTTTAGGCTGGTCTTAGGGAGCCAACCCTGGGGTATTGGTCTTCTGATCCCACCTCATGGTCTGACCTCATGATCTACCCACCTCAGCCTCCCAAAGTGCTGGGATCACAGGCGTGAGCCACAGCGCCGGCCACTTTTTTCCTCAAATGAATGAATAGTGCTAAATCTTTCTTTTTTCTTTTTTTTTTTTTTGGAGACAAAGTCTGTCATGAAAGCTGGAGAGCAGTGGCGCAATCTCAGCTCACTGCAGCCTCCGCCTCCTGGGTTCAAGTGATCCTTCTGCCTCAGCCTCCCGAGCAGCTGGGATTACAGGCATGTGCCACCATGCCCAGCTAATTAATTTTTATATTTTTAGTAGAGATGGGGTTTTGCCATGTTGGCCAGGCTGGTCTCGAACCCCTGGCCTCAGGTGATCCACCCGCTTCGGCCTCCCAAAGTGCTGGGATTACAGGCATGAGCCACCGTGCCCGGCCCCTCTGACTTTTTTGTTATGGATGATTTCAAACCCTATGAAGAACAGAGTAATGGAATGGACATGACCACTACCTCCTCACCGTCAGCTGTAACTAATATCAGACCTGCCACTCTAGCTCAGGTGTTTTCCATCAAGGAATAAACATCACGGGCAGAAGTGGGTGCCCCTCCCTGCTCTCCAACCCTCTCCAGAGGCAACCGTGACCCTGAATCCAGTGCCTCTCAAAATATTTTATAATTTTACTACTTTTGTAAGTGTCCAGCATTAGGGTCCTGTTTCACATTCACAGAAACGGACAGCATCAGGGTGCAGGATTAGAGACCCGCGATTCATTCCTTCTGCTCGATGCTGGGTTTGCGATGCCTCCTTGTCAAGACAGGCAGTTCCGGTTTAGTGCTGGGCCCCATCCAGAGGATGAATATGCCCAGAGGAGCAGCCCGTTCCTGGTGGACCAGCATGCAGGCCATTTCCAGTCTCCATCCTCCCGGGTGGGCAGCTCCCTGGGTGCCCAGAAGCAGGACTGTGTCCTCAGCTTGGCTGCCCTGACCAACCGCTCTCCCCTAAACGCCCCAGCATGTTCTCTCTGGAGGTGTGAGAACCTTCAGCTGGTCTCAAGGATTATCACGCCCTTCCTGGGGTCCCAGTGGCCGAGCCTCCCTGCTGGCTACTCCCTGTGTTGTCCGTGTTTCCTCCTGTGTGACCCCCGCCTGTCCGCGTCTCCTCCTGTGTGACCCCCGCCTCAACCCTGGGCTGCTTGTCTGACCATGACGTTCGCTAGATCTCCTGGACTCCGGCCTCAGCGCCGGATGCACAGAGATGACCTCCTTCCACTCCCTGGCTTGTATTTTTACTTAGTTATGTTGTCTTTTTTCAAACACAGTTTTTAAAATGTAATGTGGTCAAATGCGTCTCTCTTTACTTTGATAGCTTGTGACTTTAGTGACTTAAGAAACCC
Organism: Homo sapiens; assembly: GCF_000001405.40. Classification (NCBI taxonomy): domain Eukaryota; kingdom Metazoa; phylum Chordata; class Mammalia; order Primates; family Hominidae; genus Homo; species Homo sapiens. Next base: position 184,946 of record NT_187681.1, on the reverse strand, counting down.
TTTCCTACCCTGAGGTCATCAATATTATGCCTGTTTTCCTTCTAAATGTTTTCAGGTTTAGCTTTTCACATCTGAGTTGTTTAATCTACCTGGTGTTTTATTTTTGTTTAGAGCGTGACACAGGCACCTAATTTTCCCCATGTAGAGAAGCCCCGGCCCAGCACACTCAGGGGACAGCCCAGCACACTCAGGGGACAGCCCAGCCCAGCACACTCAGGGGACAGCCCAGCCCAGCACACTCAGGGAACAGCCCGGCCCAGCACCCTCAGAGAACAACCCTCCTTCCTTGTAGATGTGGAGCACCCACCCACCTCAAAGCATCATCGTAAGCACATGGGCTGTTCCAGGCATCCACTTGCCTATCCCGGCACCAATGCCACGCTGTCTTAGAGGCAGGCGTCCCACATGATTCTTCTCTGAAACTCACTTAGCTCTGCTTGGCTCTCTGGCCTTCCACGTGGACCTTTGGACCAGCCGGCCAAATCCCACGAAAAACTCAGCTGGGATTGAGAAAGGCTGTTTGCGGAGAATCGACCTCGTTTTTCACTTTTTAAAATTAATCTCATTTTTCAAAACTTACACTTTTCATTCATGAACGTGGCATACGTCTCCATCAGTCAAGTCTTCTTTTATGCCCTTTGCAATGTTATAGTGGCCTGGACACCTTCCATCTGACGTTTTCTACATAGGTATCTTCGTAGGTTTTGAGGCTGCTGTTAATGAAGTATTTTTCTATTATATTTCAGCTTGGTTTCTACTGGTGTAAACATACGCTATTGTTTTTTCCCTCATCAACCTTGTCTCCAACATTACTGAACCCTCTCATTAGTTCAAATAATAGAGTCAAAAATTCTCTTGGTTTTTACATCTTCATGTTTCTTTCTTTGTTTGTTTGTTTGTTTTTGTTTGTTTTTGAGACAGAGTCTTGCTCTGTCACCCAGGCTGGAATGCAATGGTGTGATCTCGGCTCACTGTAACCTCCGCCTCCCAGGTTCAAGCCATTCTCCTGCCTCAGCCTCCCGAGTACCTGGGATTACAGGTGCCCACCACCACCACCTCCCGGGTAATTTTAGTATTTTTAGTAGAGATGGGGTTTCACCATGTTGGCCTGGCTGGTCTTGAACTCCCAACCACAGGTGATCTGCCTGCCTCAGCCTCCCAAAATGCTGGGAATACAGGCGTGAGCCACCGTGCCCAGCCAGTTGGCTTTTACATCTTGATAATCACATTATATGAAATAAAGGCCAGGTACAATGGCTTACACCTGTAATCCCAGCACTTTGGGAGGTCAAGGCAGGCAGATCACTTGAGCCCAGGAGTTCAAGGCCAGTCTGGGCAACATAGCAAAACCCTGTCTCTACAAAAAATAAATTAAAATGAAACAAATCAGGACAGTTTTGTTTCCCAATGCTGGTCTTCATTTCTTCTTGCTCTTGTCTCACGGACTTGGTGAAGCCTCCAGCACCCCCATAGAGGGAAGGCACAGCCATCGCCAACATCTCCCATGTCCGCTGGCTTCTGTGGGAGTGATTCTCAAGTCCCAGCAAGCGGAGGGGTTCGATGTGTGCTGTAGTTTCTGGGCAGATGTTCCTAAACAGGTTAAGACGGCTTCCTTCTAGTCTGGGCTTGCTCTTTTTATAATAGCGAGTTGAGACACGCTGTTGACTCCCATCAGACACCTGTCTGCACCTAAGATCCTTCCGTTTTTAAATCCTCCACACGTCTCTGGCACCCTCTCCTGCCTGGTGGTGGTACAGCAGCCCCAGGGACTCGGTGTCTGAGCAGAGCCAGAACCTCTCAGGGGACTGGGACATGGACAAGACCCTCGGTCTCCCGTCCCCACACCGTGACCACGGAGGCAATAGCTGCTCCCACAGCCTAGGCCCTGGAGTGAGCGGATGTAGTGGAGGGCACCAGCCACGCAGCCACAAACGGAGCATGAACCAGACAGAACCCTGCTGCCGTGAACCACCAAGACTCGGGGCCAGGTGCAGTGGCTCACCCCTATAATCCCAGCATTTTGGGAGGCCGAGGCGGGCAGATCACCTGGGGTCAGGAGTTCGAGACCAGCCTGGCCAACATGGTGAAATCTCATCTCTACTAAAAATACAAAATCAGCTGGGTGTGGTGGTGGGCGCCTGTAATCCCAGCTACTCAGGAGGCTGAGACAGGAGAACCGCTTGAACCCGGGAGGCGGAGGTTGCAGTGAGCCGATATCACACCACTGCACTCTAGCCTGGGTGACAGAGCGAGAATCTGTCTCCAAAAACAGAAAAAGAAAAAGGGTCTTTGCAGATGTGATTAGATTGAGGACCTCACGAGATCAGCCTGGATTATCAGGTGGGCCCTAAATCCAAAGACCAATGTCCTTAGAAGAGACGCAAAGGGAGAAACGCCCAGGAGAAGCCCCGTGGAGACGGAGGCAGGGCATGGGCGATGCAGCCGCAAGCCAAGGAACGCCCAGAGCCACCTGCAGCTGGAAGGGCCAAAAGCATCTTCCCCGGAGCCTGAGCGGCCTTGTGGCACCGCCACGCCTGCACCTCAGACTCCGGCCTCCGGGACTGTGGGAGACAGCTTTCCTGTGGCTTTCGGCCCCCGGTTTGTGGTCATTTGCTGGTGCCGCCCGGAGCACCCGACAGCCAGGCGCATGGCCTGTTTCAGCCCACGGAACAACAGCAAGTCTCACCTGGGCGGAAGGGAGGAGTGCGCGCTGGGGCCTTCCGTCTGCTCCCAGAAACAGGGAGGCCGCCGTGGGAACAGAACAGCCAGCTTCTTCCAGAGAATGCGAGAACTTGACCCCAACCCGTGCAGCTACTCCGAGGGGGTGGCCGGCTGCCCACCTGGCTGGCGGGCTCCCTATCTCCTCTGCTGTAGGCTTAGCCCACTGTGGTGAGCCCGGGGAAACAGGTAGCCCCTGGCCCGAGTCACCCCTAGGGAGACCCAGGAGGACCCAGCTGGGGGCATGAGTTATGCGAGGAAGAGGAGGGCGCTGGGGATAAAGTCGGGGGCTGCACCGTGACTGGACGGGGTTGGGGGGAGCCCCTGCGTCTCCCTGCCCCTCCGTTGGCACCAACCCTGCCTCCACCTGAAGGGGCAGCTCCCTCCCCACCCTCAACACCTGCACTGGAGTTCTGGACACAGAGAACCCAAAAGGAAGATCCTGAGTGGGCAGAAGGGGCGGGGCCTGTCCTAGGAAAGGGGTGGGGCCTGCTCTGGGGAAGGGGCGGGGCCTCCTCTAGGGAAGGGGTGGGGCCTGCTCTGGGGAAGGGGCGGGGCCTCCTCTAGGGAAGGGGTGGGGCCTGCTCTGGGGAAGGGGTGGGGCCTCCTCTAGGGAAGGGGTGGGGCCTGCTCTGGGGAAGGGGCGGGGCCTCCTCTAGGGAAGGGGTGGGGCCTGCTCTGGGGAAGGGGCGGGGCCTCCTCTAGGGAAGGGGTGGGGCCTGCTCTGGGGAAGGGGCGGGGCCTCCTCTAGGGAAGGGGTGGGGCCTGCTCTGGGAAGGGGCAGGGCTGTCTGGGGAAGGACTGGGGTCAGGGCTCATGCTCTCCTGGAGCTTCCCGGGTAGCCTCTGCTTTAAAGGGCACAGCAGGGAAGAGCAGGCAGGGGCCTAGCCGTACCCGTGTCCACGCTGCATCACCAGGGGAAGCCCCTCTTCGCAGCTGCAAGCTGGGAGACAGATGAGGAAACTGGAGGGAGCCTGACCACCTCTTCCTTACCAGGTCTCTGGCCGCAGTGCCCCCACCCCGCCCTGCCCATTTCCTGGCCTGTGCAGGGACTGCTGGGCCCAAGGGTCACAGCCAGGCAGAGATGTGATAGGTTTTGGGGGTGGGCCAGAAACAGGCCACCCTCGAAATGACCCAAGGATGGCTCTGGGGTCCATGCTGACAGCTTCATGGAAGGGCCAGTTCTGAAGCACCCAGAATCCCCACGTGGCTATGCCAGAGGCTCTAGGGTGGCCTCAGGGGCTCCATGGCAGGCCCAGGCCAACTGACTGCCCAGGAGGTCCCTAGGCCTAGACAGTGTGGGCTCCTGGGGCCACCAGAGGGGATGAGCAGGTCCTTTGGGGGGCTGTCCTGGGCCAAGTGGGGCAGTTGAAAGACCCCAGGCCTGAGCGGGTTCCAGGACCCAGGGTGGCGCTGATGAGCTGGGATGTCCCAACTGGCTTCAGACCCCAGGGTTGCTGCTCAACCGCGGCCCTCCCTGGGGTCAGATGGGGGAGAGGGCAGCTAGGGGAGGGCAGCTAGGGGAGGGCAGTGGCCTCAGCCCCCTGCCAGGAGCCAAGATCAGTGGCTCATGCTTGTAATCCTGGTACTTTGGGTGGCTGAGGTGGGAGGATCACTTGAACCCAGGAAGGAGTTTGAGACCAGCCTGGGCAACATAGTGAGACCCTGTCTCTGCAAAACAAACAAAACTATGCAAAAATCACGTGCCTGTTACTTTAGTAAAACAAAGGATTGTTTTGAAAGATAAGAACAAAAAGCAAAAAGCTCTTAAAAATTAGCCAATCATGGTGCCACATGCCTGTACAACTATTTGGGAGGCAGGACAGCAGGAGGTGGGACCTGTTGCACCCTGAGGACCCGTCACGCCCAGGGGACCCATCACACCTGAGGATCCGTCATGCCCTGAGGACCTGTCACACCCTGAGGACCCGTTGTGCCCTGGCTTTGGAAGTGTGGAGCCCAGCCCAGGTGTCTGCCCTCCTGAGGGTTTCGTCACATGTAAGGGGTGTGGCACAGCCTTGTAGTCTGGAGACAAATGTCCTCCCCTTTGACCTCAGAGGATGCTCGAGGTTGGATCACTGTGCTTAGAGGCCTCGGCCTCCCCACACACACCTGCTGCCTTTGACAGGAGACACCAGGCACCTGCTCTGGGCCAAGCAGCCTCCATGGGCTCCACCCAGAAGTCAGGGGCTCAGCTCTCCAACATGAGTGGGCACTGTGCCCAGGGTCCACAGCCAGTGCCCCTTGTCCAGCTGGGTCCGCAGAGCCAACCAGAACTTCTGCAGGTTTGAAGGTATTGGCGGCTCTGACTGGCAGCTCCCCAAAGCCCTGACGGGGCCACCAGGTCCTGGCCACCTTTTGTCACTAGGCAGCAGGAGCTGACAGTGACCTGAGGACTAAGACCTTCTCCATTTTCCCAGTGTAGAGACCCAGGACAAGGCGCATCTCACATACACATGGCACATGCAGACACATGTGCACACAAGCAAATGCTAGCACGCTCATGCACACACACACGTGCACACACATCACATACACACGGCACATGCAGACACGTGTGCACACAAGCAAATGCTCACACGCTCATGCACACACACACGTGCACACACACATCACATACATGGCACATGCAGACACGTGTGCACACAAGCAAATGCTCACACGCACATGCATGCACACACGTGCACACACATCACATACACATGGCACATGCAGACACGTGTGCAAAGCAAATTCTCACACGTGCATGCACGCACACACGCACACACACACACACCACCTCCCCAGGGCCACCCGACCCCCGGGGCTATGCACTCACACACACACACACACACACCCTCTGCCCAGGGCCACCTGACCCTCGGGGCTACACACACACACAGACACCCTCCCCAGGGCCACCTGACCCTTGGGGCTACACACACACACACACACACACATCACCTCCCCAGGGTCACCTGACCCTCGGGGCTACACACACACACACACGCACACACTCTCCCCAGTACCACCTGACCCTCGGGGCTACACACACACACACACACACACACACACACACACACACACCCTCCCCAGGGCCACCTGACCCTCGGGGCTACACAAAGGCCCCACCAACCGTGGAAAGCCTGTGAGATGGCTGTGAAGGAACCCAGGGCTCTTTTCACAGATTCAGGGCCGGGGGATTCCTACAAGGGAATCTGACCACATTTCGACAGCCCCGTGGGGGTTTTGCCCAGGGTGAGAATGGGGAGCGGAGGGCAGGCAGCCCCCACGTCCCCTCTGCATTTGGTACAAGGGATTTGCCAACCGCGTGGCGTGTGTGTGGTGCCCCCGTGTCCTGCACGCAGAGCCTGGTGGCCTCCGCCATGCACAGTGGCCAAGCCGCACCCCTGCAGCACCAACCTAAACCACACAGTACAGCATGTCCCCCTGAGTTTATTATTGGAAAGCAAGGACTGAACAAAGACTCAGACAATAAATATCTGAAGAGAGGAAGCCGAGCTTAGGAGGCTCAGAGGGTCCGGGGGAGGTAAAGCTGTCGAGGGCAGTGAAGGGGGCTGTGCCCACCCCGCTCACCCGCTCCCCAGATGCCTAGGGGAGCGCCGGGCCCGGCGGGAGGTGCCGGTGGGGAGCCCGCAGACGGTGTCCTGGCACTGGCAGCTCTCGATGTGGGTGTAGGTGTGTGTCAGCGAGCCGCCATTGGGGCAGCTCAGGACCACCTCACGCTGGCTGGTTTTCTCCTCTTTGCAGCAGGAGCAGCTGTGGTCCAGGGCCTGGGCCTTGGCCGAGTACCTGGGGGGAGGGCGGAGTGAGGGGTGACCTTCCGGGGCCAGCGCTGGCCTCTCGCCTCCCTGGGGTCTCCACCACCCCCTCCAGGCACACTCCCAGCCTGGGACTCACATGACAAATGTCCCGCAGGACCCGGAGCAATGATTCATGAGGACGGTCTTGGTGCAGCCGGCGTACGAAACCTCCGTGGTGACGGGGACGGTGGAGCAGGGCACCCTGGTCTCATTGCGAGGGGTGCCTGGGGAGAGCGGGCAGCGGCTTAGGGCAGGGCCTCCACATCTTCGAGGAGGCTCTCCCTCGCTGCGTCCCCTCCCCAGGCTCGGCCTCAGCCCCCAGCCCTCACTGCCCACCCAGAGGCCGTTGTCCAGCCTCCAGCCACCCCAGGCGGGGCTGAGGGCACCAGCCCTTGTGCCCCCACCCTGCCTACCCCCCAGGCTGTGCCCTGTACTCACAGGTCTTGCAGCATCCATTGGGCATGAATGTGATGGAGCCCTAGAGGGAAAGGAGAATGAGCCCGGGACCCCCGGACATTCCTGGGGATGAGAGCACCTTCCCACGATGCCGTGGGCGGGGGTAGCTGCTGCAGAAAGCCCCAGGCAAAGCCTCCTGCGGCAGCTCAGACCAGGCCCGAGGTCACTGTCGCAGCACTGGGGCCCCAGCCCCCCAGAACACCAGGCACCCCCACTCCCGGCAGAGTACACACAGCCAGGCCCCAGGTGGCCAACTCACCGGGATGCAAATGCTGGCATCAAAGTTGGGGCAGGTGATGTTGGAGACGGACGAGATGAGCTGGTTGTGGATCTTCACGCAGCTGAAGAATGTGCAGTTGTTCTTCGGGTCGCTCTTGAAGTCCCCGGGCTGTGGGGCAGGGAGCTCTGGTGAGGGAGGGCAGCAGGCCCAGCCCCAGCCCGGCCAGGAAGACACCCTGGAGACACCTGGCCGGGGAGGCTTCCTGGTGAGGCCCAGGGCCACAGGACAAGTGACATGGGCGGGGCCCCACATCAGGCACCAGCCTGGAGCCCACACAACCCTCAAAGGTCTGTCTGTGTTCTAACTCTGAATCTATGAATGTGACCTGCCTTGGAAAGGGGGTCTTTGAAGGTGTCATTAAGTGAAGGATCCTAAGATGAGATCATCCTGCTTGGGGTGCCTAAATCCTTAAAAGGGAGAGGAGAGGCAGACACAGGGAAGGAAACCTCGTGGTCACAGCCAAGGGGCACCTAGAGTGACCAGAGGCTGGGAAAGGTCCTTGCCTAGCGCCTCCGAGGGAGCACAGCCCTGAGGCCCTTTGCTCTATGGATTTCTGGGCCGCAGAACCAGGAGAATCCCTTTCTGCCCTGAAGACGCCTGCTCATTTGTCATGGCAGCCCCAGGGCGCCCATCACAGCTGCGCCCAGGACTGGGAGGACTCAGCTGGGGGATCCTGGGTGGCCCGCGCCTTGCCCTGGGCTCAAGCAACCCGGCCGCGTCGGGGCCGGCAGTGCACACCTACCTTCAGGATGACGTGCTGGTTGTCGGGCCGTTTGATGATACAGTGCGTCTGTTCACACTTCTTACAGCACTCCCCGGGGGCCTCCATGAGTTCGAAGCCCTGCGCACATAGACACGCCACTGCAACTGAACTCCCAGGCTGTACCCCACACCACACAAAGCCTGCAGGGCTGCCGAGACCCCCCCACCTGGAGGAGGCCCCAGGCTGGGCAGGTGTCAGGATGGAGAGGTGGGGACAGGGACAGGTTGGCGTTGAAAGGAGGAAAGAAAGGGTCACGATGCAGACATGGGCCCGGGTGCTTGTCTGGGAGGAGGGAAAAGGGCAGGCTGAAGGAGGAGGGTGGCCGCTTACAGGGCTGCAGGAGGTGTTGCAGGGCACGTGGGTGCAGGCGATGACGTTGAGCAGGGTGTTGTTGTCCACCTTGTCCGTGCACACGCAGTCCTGGCACTTGGAGGAATAAACTGGAGAACCGGGCTTCGGGCACAGGGAGAGACATGAGGCAGGGGCCTCTCCAGCATCCCAGCCAGCCCAACAGCCTGCCAGGACCCCCACGCTGCAGCCGACCTCCTCCCCTCCTCCCTCTCACCCAGCCCAGGGCTCACCTGGTACTCAGCATTCCCGTGAACACACACCCCCTTGGACTCTTGGGAGAAAGAACGGAGAAGGCCGTTCGTTGGAGACTGCCCCGGGGCGGCCACCTGGCCAGACCCCCACTCCCGGTGCACACCCAGTGGATGGAGCGAGCGCTCAGGGCTGGGGTGGGTGCATCAGCCAAGCGTACAGCCATCTGTGTCCCCAGAATCTGAGACCCCCAGGAGGGAGCCAACCCCCTTACAGCCACCCCACCCCGGGCGGCAGCCTCCTCCCTGCCCTGCCCACCAGCCCTGCTTACCACACCAGTAGAAAGGACAGCACCTTCCAGGCACCATCTTGCTCTTCACTTCGAATCCCAGCGGGCACACGGAGGGCTTCTCTTTGCACAGGCTGGTGTTGCACTCTGAAGACAGGGTGTGCACGCGGCCGTGAGGGTGGCTCCTCCCAGGCCAAGCCCCCGGGGCCACTGCACAGGCTGGTGTTGCACTCTGAAGACAGGGTGCGCACGCGGCCGTGAGGGTGGCTCCTCCCAGGCAAAGCCCCCGGGGCCACTGCACAGGGTCGGGCCTCCAGCACCTCCAAGGGTCCCCTCCCCACCCAGGTCAGGCCCTGCAGCAGGGATGCCTGGACTGGGCCCAGCGGCCCCCTCCCAAGCCCTCTCAAGGGGCACAGCAGAGGCCCCCAAGCCAGCTGTTTCCTCACTTGCCAAGGAGGGGACAGCAGGCAGCCCAGCCTACAGGGATGTGTGCACCCCTGAGAGGTGGCATGGGCCCCAGGGGATGGCCTTACTGCAGACGGTAATGTTGCAGCAGGTGTCGGCAGGGTTGACCTCCGTGGCGAGGTAGGTGCCGTCTTCCACGCAGTGGGTAACGGGCTTCTGGCTGCACCTCTTGGGTTGGCAGATGATGCCACTTCCACCCTCCAGGCAGACACAGTTCTTGCAGTCGAACTCGAAGTGCTCCCCAAACTGCAGGGAAAGAAGGGTGAGTAGAGAGGACAGGTGGCACCAGGCAGGCCCCACCTCACCACAGCCCCGGAGCTGCAGCTGTGGTCAGCGGGGAGAAACAGCCACCCTGAGCAGAGTGCTGAGGGATCCTGGGGGAAAACCATGTCCCTCCTCACTTCTGAGCACACCAGGCAGGTTCTGGGATAGGACAGTAGCTGCTCATTCACTGATATCACAAAGCCATTACCTGCTCACCAGCATCGACAAGCAGGGGCTTGGCACGTGGCAAATTCTCCACTCAGGCCTCTCAGGTTTGTACAGAATTTAGCTAAGGAATCATCCACATGGCTGCTACCACAGGTAGGAGGCATGGGCAGCACAGAGGTGGCCAAGATGTCATGTCAGAGCTTCTAGACAGAGTATCATATGACCAATGGGTGGTGAATGGAGGGAGGGAGAATGGATGGATAAATGGGTGGATGGTGGGTGGATGGTGGATGGATGGATGGATGGTTGGGTGGATGCGTGGATGGATGGGAGGGTGGATGGTAGATGGATGGTGGATGGATGGATGGATGGATGGATGGTGGATGGTTGGGTGGATGGATGGGTGGGTGGATGGGTGGATAGGTGGGTGGGTGGATGGTAGACAGATGGTGGGTGGATGGATGGATGGATGGATGGATGGATGGATGGATGGATGGGTGGATGGATAGGTGGGTGGGTGGATGGTAGACAGATGGTGGATGGATGGATGGATGAGTGGGTGGGTGGATGGTAGACAGATGGTGGATGGATGGATGGATAGGTGGGTGGGTGGATGGTAGATGGATGATGGGTGGATGGATGGATGGTGGATGGTTGGGTGGATGGTGGATGGTAGATGGATGGTGGATGGATGGGTGGATGGTTGGGTAGGTGGATGGTGGATGGATGGATGGATGAGTGGGTGGGTGGGGGGGTGCATAGATGAGTGGGTGATGACTAGGTAGGTGGAAGGATGGAGGGGTAGGTGAGTGGGTAGATGGGTGCACAGGTGGATGAGTGGGTGGGTGGAAGGATGGGTGGGTGAGTGGGTGGTGTCCATGCCAACTCAGCCATCCAGGACTTAGATGACCTCATTCCTCAATCTTTGAGGCTCCAGGTTTTCATGTCCATCCCTCACTCCCCAGAATTCAGAATTTGTGGAAGGATCCCCCAGCAACACGGTGGGGCCTACCTCTCTGGGCACATTGTCAGGTCCCACACAGCCTAGGAAGAGGGAAGAAACAAGTTGTGTTAGCAGAGTCCTTGTGCAGCAGGGAGCAGGGGTGGGGGTGGTCAGCCTCCTGGTCCCAGCCTCCATGGACACCCAGGAGACAAGTTGTGTTAGCAGAGTCCTTGTGCAACAGGGATCAGAGGTGGGGGGTGGTCAGCGTCCTGGTCCCAGCCTCCGTGGACACCCAGGAGGAGGCAGGAGGGAGGCAGGAGGGGACAGTGTGAGTGGGTGGCGTACCGCAGGTCTTCACGCAGACATCAAAGCCAGGAGCGTAGTTCATGGTGCCCTCAGGACAGAAGCAGCCTTCCACCAGGACTGTGTTGTTCTGCTGGGAGGAGCTGGGGGCGGGAGGGCATTGTCAGACAGGTGGGGTGGGGCTGGGGAGCTGGCAGGTGGGACTGCTATGCCCAGATGATGCCACCCTCCGCACTGCAGAAGGCGAGCCCACGGTCCTGGTGGACCCTCAAACAACATACCTGGATTTGCACGTGGGCTCTTCTGCAGGGCCACAGGCCTGGTACTCCCTGTGAGATGGGCACTCCACCACTGAGGGACATGGGCAGAGGTCAGAGGGCTGCCTCATGTCAGGCGGAGGAGCCTGGACCCCCTTGAGTGACAGCTGCCCAGTGCCCCACACACGGAGGAGGGTGACCAGCTGCCTGGGCATCAACCTCCACCCTCGAGGTTGTCCCGAGCTGGGTGGTGGGCACCCAGTTGCATTTAGCGATGCTGGCAGAAGCCCCAGCACCTCAGCCCCTCCAGCCTGGCCTTCCCCACCCCATGGCCCCAGCCCTGGTCTCACACCCGCCATCTCTGCATCCCTGGCCGCAGCCCATCTAGGTCTAGCTTCAGGCTGGGCACAGCACCTGGCAGAGCCTAGAGACCACGTCTGGCCTGCAGGCCCCCAGCTCCAGGGCAGGGGCAGATGGGCACTTACAGCAGGCCCCATGCGTGTGGTTCCGCCAGTCGAGGCAGATGTTCTGCTGGGCACAGAGGGCTGCGTAGGCCTGCAGACTGGCGCACTCCAGGCTCGAGCCCGGCATGAAGCAGCTGTCGAACACGCAGGCATCGTAGTAGTGCTGCGGGGGCACCAGTGCGTGGCACTGGGCAAACAGGCTGTGCAGGGAGAGGCACAGGTCACACTCAGGTGGCACCTGCCTCTCCCCTGCTCTCTACCCCAGCGTCTCTGCCCGGACTGTCCTCCTGGAGTCCGGCACCCGCCAGAGAGGCGCCTGTGGCTGATGGAGGGTCAAGGGACAGGCCAGCCAGGGGGACAGCTCAGGGACAGACCAAGGGATGGCCGAGCAAGGTGGCTCTGCAGCCCGGCTCCCAGAGATAGAAACCACGTCTATGTGGTCATCAGCTTCAGGACCCCCTCCAGCAACCCTGGCAGATGGACACCCAGCCTATACCTGGCCCCTATACTTCCAGGGACAGGATGCTGACCCCCCATGACTGCCAGCGTTAGGAGCACCCCCTCTCTGTCAAAGCCCAAATCTGCCCTCCCAATATCAGCCCTGAGCTCTGTCCTGGGTTGACTGGTTTACTCCGGGCCTCACACTCGGCCAGCCCTGCACCTTCCCGGGAGCCAGGAGAGACTGGAGTTCAGCAAAGGCACAGGCCGCACGTAGCAGCTCAGCCCCGTGGAACCCAAGGGCCTGGGTCCTGGACCCCACGGCGACCTAGCGCCTGATCCTGGTTCCGCGGCTCCGTGCCTTCCCAGCCCCAGCGCCAGGCCCCACGCGCTGCCTCCTTCCTCTTTGCAAGAGCTGGGGGCTGGGGCACAGAGGCCCTCAGCTTATTGGTGTCGTGGCCACAGGCAGGCCTGGGCGGGGTCACCTGTCCTTGATGAGCTGGCAGAGGGGAGATGGGGTGCAGTCCTTGTGTGGGGTCGTTTTACCGCCCCCGGGCACAGTGACGGCCGGGCGCTTGGTCGTGGAGCTGCTGTGGGGGCAGTGTGGCTTGGAGGGGTCGTTCACCAGCCACTGGTCAGCCGCAGCCTCACAGTTGGAGACGATCTCCCCGCTGGGCAGAATGCAGTCGTCGGAGGTGGTGTTGGTGCAGGTGCCTGTATCAGTGAGAGAGGCCACGTTGCAGACAGGGTAAGCCCTGCCCTTCTCCAGCCCAGATGCCCAGGACCGGCCAGCCAGGGCCGAGGGCAGAGACCAGGCCAGGCCCCCTCCTGTTGGCTCCTCACAGAGACTGAACCCGGGTGATGGCCACAGCAGCCCCGAGCAGCGGGGCAAGAGGCCCACAGCCAGGCCCATGGGTGTTTACACGCAGCCTCAGCCTCAGCCTGGCCTGGCCACCCGCCCTGGGGCAGGACATGGGGGCACAGGGGACGGTGGGAGCCGTGGGGGCCTCGGGGGCCATGGGGGTCACGGAACTCACCACACTGGCCCTTGGTGTTGTTGCCAAACCGGTGGTAGGGCAGCCTGACGGAGAAGGACAGGCCATTGTAGGAGACGAGGACACCCAGCTCGGGGATGTCCACCACGTAGTTGATGCCAGACTGGTACACCTCCAGCCCGTACTTCTTGTAGGGCAGTGCCACCGCCTGCCTGTTCACCTGCACCTGTGGCCGACACACCATGGGAGCTGCAGCTGCCTCGGTCCTCTCCTTGTGAGAGCTCCAGGGCTGCCCCACCCCGCCTGCTCTCTGACCTACACATGTAGGGAGAGGGCCCTGCCTACCCCGCTTTCCTGCCCCCTTTCTTGCTTCCACTCCACTGCTCCCAACCAGACCCTGGTCCCATGGGTGAGCCAGTGAAGGAGCTCTCCTGGGAGCACCTGGGGACTGTGGAGCCCGGCGCAGGCTCCCGGGGCCTCCTGAGCCTCAGAACCAATGATTCCCCTGCAAGTAGGGGCATCTCAGCCAAGGGTGTGCAGAGCCCTGTCCCTGACTCTGTCCTCAGGAGGCAGCTTCTGCTGCAGAGACTGTGCCCAGCGTGGCATGGTGCCAGGGCTCGAGGGGCCCAGGACACACCTGGAGGGCCTGCAGGAAGAGCTGATATGTCCCGGAGCCAGTCGCCCACCCCATCCTACCTTCTAGCCCAGCTCTAGGAGAGGCTATGCCTTGGCACCCCCACAGCCCAGTCCTCTGGCCCCTGGGGAACCAGGGTGCATTGGGGCCCATGTCAGCACCCGCCTCCATGCCAGCCTCCTGTGGCCACGCTGTGCCTACCTGCACCTGCATGGGCATCATATGCACGGTCTTGATCAGCACCTCCTGGGTCTCGTGGCGCACGATGAGGGTGCGGGGACAGGACACCTTGTCGTTGGGATCGCAGTGGTAGTTGTCGATGTAAACTCCGAAGTTGTCCACGGAGGGGCTGATCTCCTCCACCAGCACGTAGGTGCAGTTGCCCTGGTAGCTGTAGTAGAGTCCGTCGAAGGTGACATAGTGCGGGTCGCCCCAGCCCGTGCAGTAGCCTGCAAGGGAGCCGGAGTGAGCCGTGCCACCTGTGCCCCTCGGCCGGGGTCGGGTGCAAGGGCTGGGCTGGGGCATAGTCAGGAAGAGCCAGCAGGAAGCTGGGGCCTGAAAACCCCACTCCTGTGCGTGGGCACGGGGATGTCTGAGCTGCACTTGCCCTGGCGCACCCACAGTGGCCCATTCTGCAGGACGGACCAGGGTTCAAACTTCAACTCAGCCCCCTCTTGCCTCAGAAGCACCCTTGTTCCAGGGAGGAGCCCTAACTCCACCAGGCAAGCCCTCCACCTGCCCAGGCCCTCCCCACCCAATGAGGCAAAAGCAGGGCTGTGAGAAGACCCTCAGAAGTCACCCAGCCTCAGCGAACACCTCAGTGGGATCTGTGCCCAAGGAGCCTCAGCCCTTCCGCCCCCGGGAGACGGGCCCTGCAGCCCCCACCCACGGAGAGGGCAGGAGATGCGGGGAGGGCCTGGGGGCCCCGGACTCACAGTCGCACTCCCAGTGCCAGCAGCAGCCGTCGGGGTCCTCGACGCGCACGGGTTGGAGGCCGTTGGAGCAGGTGGGCATGGGCGGCGGCTCACACTCCACCTTCACGATCTCCACCGTGTTGTTGTACTTGCACGTGGCCATGAAGCAGTCGCACAGCCACCAAGTCTCGTTCTCCTGGGGACGGGAGGCAAGGGACGTCAGGGGGACCGGCACAGGATGGGGTGGTCTGCGCTCAGGAGGGGCGGGTGCTGAGCCGGGAGGCTGGAGGCCGAAGTGGCTTCCACGGACCTCACTGCAGCCAGCCACCTCGCCAGGCACAGCGGGGCACGGTGAAAATGTGGAGGGCTCGGCAGACCCTGCACCCAAGGGTTGCTGGAGGCCTCGGCCCTCAGACGACCAGCAGGAAGTGGTGCCTGGGGCCTCAGCTGCCCGGACATGCTGCGCAGAGTGCCATGGGGACAAAGCCGCCTGCAGCCCACTGACCTGTCTGGGAGGATCAAAGTCTGGGCACTCGGGGGGCTTGGTGCCGGGCGTCGGCTTGGAGGGCGTGGACGATGGCTTGGAAGGCGTGGGCGTCGACTTGGAGGGCGTGGGTGTTGGGGAGGGCGTGGATGGGCAGGACCAGTTATAGAACTCCAACGTACAGCTCAGTGAGCAGTTGACGAAATAACAGGTGTCTCCGTATGTGCCGTTGTACACCTCCTCACCTGCGAAGGGAGACAGACCCACGATCACACCGTCCAGAGGCAGGGCTATCCGGAGGCAGGGCTAGCCGCTGGACCCCGTGGAGGTCCCCACAGCGGAGGTCCCCACAGAGGCCACCCAAGGGAAGCCGTGCCCTGGACACAGCCACCCTCGACGGCTGCTGCCTCCTGAGACGCTTCTACTGCGATCTCAGCCCTGGCACCTGACCCATTGGTACATGCCGGGGCCAGCCTCGGCCACCCAAGCACAGGATGTGAACAGCCTGAGTACCTGGTGCGTAGTAGGTGTCGTTCAGGACACAGCAGATAAGCACAGAGGAAGGGTAGGGCCTCAGGCCTGTGGTCCTGATGATGCTGGGTGTGGAGAGTGGGGTCGGCGTTGGGGTCCAGGCACTGGTGGTGGTCGTCTGCACAGTGCTGGGGGTGGGGGCTGAAGATGACCCGGTCGTGGTACCGCGAGTGGGGGTGCCTGTGAGAGCAGGAGACACCAGTGAGGGCTGAGACATTGCACATCTCAGATGCCACAGGGTCCCAACTGCCACTCCCCAGCTGCAAGGGAGCCAGACAGCCGACCGGGTGGCAGAACTGGAGGACCAGGGCCTCGTGCCCACCTCCCAGGCTCTCAGAGTCACCAGGCAGGGTGGAGCGGCAAGGCCAGTATCACCACAGCCGAGTGTCACGAGAGCCTGCAGGTGACCTGGTGCTCTGGCAGCAACACAGCTTGCTGGCCAAGCCGATGGCCAGCAAGAGGCGTCCAGAAGGCACTGGCTGTGGCACGCCGTCCACCAGGAAAAGGCCCCAAGGAGGGGCTGCAGCCAGAAGCAGGTGGACCCGCAGGCACCTCACTGGCAGCCTCTCTCTGCCCCCCAGCCTTGATGGGCTCCCACAGCACCGCATCACATAGCAGTGGGCCCCTGAAGAAGGCCGTCTTATGGGCGAGCAGGATAGCCAAGGGCTCCACTGCCCAGCACTGGCCGGTGTCAGCAGCTCCTCAGAAGGCTGTCCTATGGGCAAGCGGAATGGCCTTTGGCTTCACTGCCCAGCACTGGCCAGTGTCAGTGGCTTCTGCCCACACAGTGACCAAGCTTCGTGGGCAGAGAGGCGCCCAGAACGTGCCTTGAGCCTTCCTGGGACAGTCCTGCCCGGCACAAGGGGAGGAAGAAGCATCCCAGGCCAGAGGAACCAAGCAGCTCTGCTTACCTGGAGGGGACGTGGTGGTGCTGGGCGGTGGAGACAGTGTGTGGCCTCCGCTCGTGGTCGTGGGTGCCGTGGGTGTGGAGGGTGGGGCCGTGCTGGTCATCTCAATGGCAGGTGGTAGGGTACTCAGAAGGGTGGTTGACTCCGTGAGAGGGGAAGAGGTGGACCGAGAGGTCTGAGGGGTTGAGGACTCAGGCGGAGGATTGGATGTGGTCAACTCAGCAATGGGTGCTGTGCTTGTGTGGGTGGGGGGCCCCGTGCTTCCAGTGGTGGGTGTTGGGGTTGGGGTCACCGTAGTGGTGGTGCTGATGGGTATCATGGTTGGGGTCTGTGTGCCGGTGGGTGTTGGGGTTGCGGTCACCGTAGTTGTGGTGGTGATGGGTGTCACGGTTGTACTCTTTGTGCTGGTGGGTGTTGGGGTTGGGGTCATCGTAGTGGTGGTGGTGATGAGTACCGTGGTTGGGGTCTGTGTGCCGGTGGGTGTCGGGGTTGGGGTCACCGTGGTGGTGGTGGTGATGGGTGTCGTGGTTGGGGTCTGTGTGCCGGTGGGTGTTGGGGTTGGGGTCACCGTAGTGGTGGTGGAGATGGGTGTCGGGGTTGGGGTCTGTGTGCCGGTGGGTGTTGGGGTTGGGGTCACCGTAGTGGTGGTGGTGATGGGTGTCGATGTTGGGGTCTGTGTGCCGGTGGGTGTTGGGGTTGGGGTCACCGTAGTGGTGGTGGTGATGGCTGTTGGGGTTGGGGACTGTGTGCCGGTGGGTGTTGGGGTTGGTGTCACCGTAGTGGTGGTGGTGATGGGTGTCGTGGTTGGGGTCTGTGTGCCGGTGGGTGTTGGGGTTGGGGTCACCGTAGTGGTGGTGGTGATGGCTGTTGGGGTTGGGGTCTGTGTGCCAGTGGGTGTTGGGGTTGGGGTCACCGTAGTGGTGGTGGTGATGGGTGTCGTGGTTGGGGTCTGTGTGCCGGTGGGTGTTGGGGTTGGGGTCACCGTAGTGGTGGTGGTGATGGGTGTCGATGTTGGGGTCTGTGTGCCGGTGGGTGTTGGGGTTGGGGTCACCGTGGTGGTGGTGGTGATGGGTGTCGTTGTTGGGGTCTGTGTGCCGGTGGGTGTTGGGGTTGGGGTCACCGTGGTGGTGGTGGTGATGGGAGTGGTGGTTGGTGGAGGGGTGGTTGTGGTGGTTGTTGGAGGGCTGGGAGTGGTGGTTGGTGGAAGGGTGGTAGTGCTGGCTGGTGGAGTGATGGGCGTAGTCGTTGGAGGGCTGGGAGTGGTGGTTGGTGGAGGGGTGGTTGTGGTGGTTGTTGGAGGGCTGGGAGTGGTGGTTGGAGGGCTGGGAGTGGTGGTTGGAGGGCTGGGAGTGGTGGTTGGTGGAGGGGTGGTTGTGGTGCTTATTGGAGGGCTGGGAGTGGTGGTTGGTGGAGGGGTGGTCGTGGTGGTTATTGGAGGGCTGGGGGTGGTGGTTGGTGGAGGGGTGGTTGTGGTGGTGGTTGGAGGGCTGGGGGTGGTGGTTGGTGGAAGGGTGGTCGTGCTGGTTGGTGGAGGGCTGGGAGTGGTAGTTGGAGGGCTGGGAGTGGTGATACACTTATCCATGGGCCAGCAACAATTGACACGTATCTTGTAGTCGTAACACAGTCCAAATGGTCCATTTCCAAACTGGTCTTCATTCTTGCAAATGAACCCAACAGAGACATCACACTGCACCTTCTGGCCTAGCTGCTCCAAGCTGAGGTGGGGATCCTTGACCGACCTGCACTCGATGTCCTCAGGGGCCCCGCAGACCCCATCAAATGTTTCTCGGTCACCGTCGTCGCTGCCACTGCTGGGGTGGTCCTCATTGATCCAGTCAGACCAGAGGCAGCACAGCTCTAGGGAAGCAAAACCAAGTTCTTGTCTCTCACACCTGGGGAGAGGCACCTCCAGGAAGCCACCAGGATTCAGAGGACCCAGGGACCTCCATGACCATCCCCCAGCTGCAATCTCTCTTTTCCCTGTCATTGCCAAAAAACCAGAGTGCAGGGCCAGAGAGCTCAGGGCTGGACACCACTTCCATCCTCATTTTGCAACTGAAAACCTGAGCCCAAAGAGACGGGGCCACCCAGGGCCACACCTGGGTGTGATGGACCCTTTCCTCAGCTATTTTCAATACTTTTTTTTCAAAGAATCAATAACAAGAGAGCTTCCCATTCCAGTAAGGAAGTGTGACGGAAGGGGCTTTGTCTCCACTCTTAACCAGCAATATTGTCACCGACAGCCAATCAGGTCTCACTTTAGCCCCTGGCCTCAGCAAACCATGAATGAAGTGGCCAAAATACATCCATCTTTGGTCCATAAGCAGAGGAGTCCAGCCCCGCCAGCCTCACATCTGGGCCCTGAAGGAAGCATCCTGCAGGTGATTTTATAAGACTTCGCTCCTCCCACCCTGCTTGTCATCATGAATATCATCACCGTCACTTACTCGGAGTTGTTGATAAAACTGCAATAAAGCAGGAAGAAAAGAGGATATCATTATATAGTTCAAGATCTTTTAAAATCTTGCCTTTTTTAAAAAAAGTTTCTTTTTTCTGTGGCTATCATACCCCTGGTGGCTTGTTCAGTGGTAGCTAGGATTTCAACCAGAACAAACGCAGGGGAACATAAGAAAATTTCTCTAACCCTTAGGGATAGTTTCCTGCTGGTTTTCAGAAATCTCCCCAGGTGATCCTCCACTGTGGTCTGGGCTTGGGGATGTGGTCAGGATGCTACTATCTCAATGCACCAGGCCAGGGGAGCCAGGGCAGGCCCCCTCACACCTCAGTGCAGAGGAATGCCACTGTCACCTCACTCTGCAGCTGGTGTGCAGGGGTCACAGCCTGGCTGCACCAGGCCGGGGCCTGCCCCCGAAAGAGCCCTCTGTGCTGGATGCTGGATGCAGGGGAAGGTGAGAGCCCGAGGAAGCATGGAGGGAACCAGGGGGCCTTACCTGTGCTGGAGGTCGGGGTGGTGGTGGTGGTGGTAGTGGTGAAGGTGGTGGGGGTGGTGGGGAGGGTGATGGTGGTGAAGGTGGTCAGGGTGGACGGGCGTGTCGTAATGGAACAGATGTTGAAGTGCTTCTCCACCGTCCCGTTGGGGCCACAGATCTCCCAGTAGCAGAAGGCGCCATCCTGGGTCTGGTTAAGAATCTTTCCTGGGGGTGAGGGTGAGGCCAAGAATCACCTCATCAGGAGCAAGATAGGAAGAAGGCCAGGTGTGCCCGAGCCCCCACAAGCAGCTAAGAAATGCTCCAGTGAGACTGCACCCGTCCCAGAGCCCCTCTCTTTGAATAAAGGGAATCTCATCAGAACGCAGAAGCTGGATCACGGGAGAGGGTGACGGAAATTCCCCACAGGACACCGACACCCCAGAAGAAACAAAATGGGTCACAGCAGCCCCCCAGGGCTGATACACATCGGAGGTGGGTCTGAGCTGGGGGGGGACCAAAGGGGCAGAGCCCAGGAGGAGACCAGCACCCCCCACCGATCCAAGGCCCCACAGGCTTCCCCAGGATGGGCCCGGCCACCGCAGGGCTGGCAGCAGAGGGCAGCTTACCTTCCTCCGGCCTGCAGACGACTTGGGAGGAGTTGGTACACACGCTGCAAAGCAAGCACATGGCTACAAGTCCCACTCCACTGACAACGCGCCCACGCTGCTCAGACCCCCAGCTTCCCCATGTGGCTAGTACCGAGCCCAAAGCCCCCAGGCACTGCCCCAAAGCCAGCTCCGGAAGAGCCCCCCACTGGGTTGTAACTGTGGGAACAGAGCAGGGGCGAGGAGAGGAAGGAAAAAGCCAGACCCAGAGGATGGGATGAGAACAGAAGACCCCCCGCCGCAGTGAGGGACTGGTACCTCTGTAGCCTGGCTCCTGTGTGCATGTGTGACTGTGTGACTGTGTGTGCTTGTGTGTCTGCCTCCATGCATGTGTGCATGTGTGACTGTGTCACCGTGAGTGTGTACCTGGGTGTCTGTATCTATGCATGTGTGCATGTGTGCATTATATGACTGTGTGACCTTGTGTACCTGTGTGTCTGCATCCATGCATGTGTGACTGTGCGACTGTGTAATTGTGTGTGTCTGGGTATCTGTGTCTAGGCACGTGTACATGTGTGACTGTGTGTGCCTGCGTGTCAGTGTCTGTGCATGTGAGCATGTGTTCATGTGTGACTGTGAGTGCATCTGTGCACGTGACTGTGTGTGCCTGTGTCTGTCCATGCATGTGTGCATGTGTGCACGTGTGACTTTGTGTCCATGCATGTGTGCATGTTTGACTATGTGTGTGTGCCTGCATATCTGTGTCTAGGCATGTGTACATGTGTGCAGTGTGTGCATGTGTGACTGTGTGACTGCGTGTCTGCATCCATGCATGTGTGACTGTGTAACTGTGTGTGCCTGGGTGTCTGTGTCTATGCATGTGTGCATGTGTGACTGTGTGTCCTTGCGTGTCAGTGTCCATGCATGTGAGCACATGTTCATGTGTGACTGAGTGTGAGTGCATGTGTGCACGTGACTGTGCCTATGTCTGTCCACACGTGTGTATGTGTGCACATGTGACTCTGTGTCCATGCATGTGTGACTGTGTGTGCCTGGGTATCTGTGTCTAGGCATGTGTACGTGTGCACTGTGCATGTGTGTGTGCGCCTGCGTGTCTGCATCCATGCATGTGTGCATGTGTGACTGTGTAACTGTGTGTGCCTGGGTGTCTGTCTGTGCATGTGTGCATGTGGTGTATGACTATATGACCGTGTGTGCCTGCGTGTCTGCATCCATGCATATGTGCGTGAGTGTGTAACCGTGAGTGTATGCCTGGGTATCTGCGTCTAGGCATGTGTCCATGTGTGCGCTGTGTGCATGTGTGACTGTGTGTGCCTGCATGTTGGCATCCATTCATGTGTGCATGTGTGCACCATGCATGCATGTGACCGTGTGTGTGCACGTGGTATGCTGTGTGCGTTTGTGTGCATGTGCACCCATGTGGAACGGTTGTGTGTCTGTGTACTGTGTACACTGTGTGCTCACACGTGTGTGTGTACTCATGTGCCCATATGTGCAGCTCCCCCAGGCCCCCTGCCACGTGGGCTTAGGTACCAGGACTTGCAGGTCTCCTCGGTGGGAACCGATGCTCCAGGTGGGTAGTGGGTGTCCTCGACATAGCAGCCACACTTGTCTGCAGTGACACACTTCTTCAGATCCTCCTCATAGATGGGCCTGTCCTTGGGGCACCGGGGGTAGCAGCCTGGTGGACACAGGGCATAGGGTTGGGACCACCGCAGTCCACCACACCCCACCCACCGTCCCTACCCTGGCAGGCCCTTCTCTGCAGGATGCCCCTCTGGGAAGGCCGGGGATTGGAAAGGCAGGGCCTGGATCTCCCCACCCCACTGAGCCCTGAACGCTGCCTGCTGAGGAGCCCTGCCCAGTCTCATCGGGCCCCCCGAGCAGCCCTGAGTCCCAAGACCCATGTTCCTCTCCCATGGCGGGATACTCCTCCCAAACTTCCCACCAGTCCCTCCTTCACGTCACTGGTTCTCAGCTCAGACACCAGCACCCGGCAGGGGCCTCCCCTGACCTGTGCCTGAAATGCTCCCCAACCCGCCCTGCTCTGCACGAACCTCAGCACCTCCCACCCCTGCCACTCCCAGTTTCCACGATAGCCTGCTTCCCTCCTGATCCTGCAGCAAGGGGAGCCTGGCTGCCCTGGGCTGTGGGTACCCTGAGGGTCAGGCCTCCCTCCGGGTGTCCCCATGGGTCTCCAGACATCAGCCTTCAGCCCCACAGTGCCAGGCCCGTCGGCCGTAGCCTCCCCCGAGGGCCGCCTGGCTCACCCTCCAGGCCAGTGGACTGTTGCCTCTCCCGAGGGCTGCCCCACTCAGCCTCCAGGCCCCTCGGCCATCACCCCCGCTGAAGCCCGCCCCACCCTGCTCACCCTCCAGGTAGGACACGGAGATGTTGGAGTGGATGCCGTTGATGGTCCTGCAGGTCTCGAAGCTCCGGTTCCCACATGGCTCATAGTGCCACTCACACTCATGCGGAGGGTTGTAGTAGTCGCAGAATATGGCTTGGGGGAGACAGGGCCAGGGTCAGACGCAGGAGGGCTCAGGCCTGGGCCGGGGTGAGGGCGAATCTGGGGTCGGGGGCTGGGACGCAGACGCATCAAGCTTGCTCTGCCAACCCGGGTCCCACAGGGCCCCAAAGAAGGACACTGGAGAAGTCGGGGAAAGGGTGGGTGATGCACACCCATCACCTGGATGGACAAGGAGTGTCACCCCGGCCCGCAATACAGCACCTCCCAGCCCCCGTCCCGGCCCTGAGTGCAGTTCGGGCAGGCTCTTACGGCACAGGTCCGGCGTCCTCCAGAACACGCAGGCCCCCTCTTTGGTACACTCCTGGGCGTAGGAGGCCACGGCAGAGCAGAAGCACTCACAGTCCCCACCCGTGTCACAGGAGCACGAGTCGTGCACACAGGCCTCGTAGAAGGGCTTGGGGTCCACCTGGGGAGAACACCCTGGTCTGTCCTGGGCCCGTCCTGCCCTCATGGAGCCAGGACTTCCCCAGTGCCCTGGAGCTCAGGACCCTGAGGCCGGCCCTGCTCCTGGGACAGGGCACATTACCCAGCACCAGCCAGCCAGGGCCCCGGCAGGGCCAACCTTGGGGAGAGGGTCCAGAGACACCTGTCCCGCCGTGGCTGTGCAGACCCATCACCCAACCCCTCTGCATCCTCAGCTGTAACATGGCCATCCTAGAACCCGTCCTCCCCAGCTGCCTGTAGCTGGGGATGTGTGGGCATGGGGGACACATGTCCTTTCTCCCTCCGGGTGAATATCTGAGCCTGGGGAGGCAGAGGGAGGCCGGGGGTCCAGCCCAGGGTCTCAGAGGGGAGGCCGATTATACGGTCATGTGACCAAAGGAGGCAGCGGCCAGAGCCAAAGCTGGAGGACAAGCGCCGTGTGGTGCGTGACGCAGCAGGGCGACTCCTGAAGGTGTGGGGAGCATGTGGAGAAGCCCCCCAGCCCCAGGAGCACCCAAGACCCTACCCTGCTATGACCACGCCCTGGTCATTAGCATGCTCTACGGCACCCTCACCACGCCCACAGTCAGCCCATAGCCCTGCTCTGCCTACAGTCGGCCCCGCCCATGGCCCCGCCCACAGCTATAGTCCACCTACAGCCCTGCTCTGCTTAGTCGGCCCCGCCCATGGCCCCGCCCACAGCTATAGCCCACCTACAGCCCTGCTCTGCCTAGTTAGCCCCGCCATGCCCCGCCCACAGCTATAGTCCACCTACAGCCCTGCTCTGCTTAGTCGGCCCCGCCCATGGCCCCGCCCACAGCTATAGCCCACCTACAGCCCTGCTCTGCTTAGTCGGCCCCGCCCATGGCCCCAGCCCACAGTCACAGCCCACCTACAGCCCTCCTCTGCCTACTTGCCCCACCATGGCCCGGCCAGCCCACCTTGCTGTGGCAGATGCTGAACACGCTGCTTTTGAGGATGCTGCACTGCTTCTCGGCCCAGGAGCGGCGGTGCGGGTTCAGGCTGCAGGGCTCGGGGTTGGTGCTCACATCTGGGCAGGTGGGGGCCTCCTTCCAGCTGTTCCCGAAGTCCAGCTCGCTGCTCACCACCATGTGGTCCCGCGTGGTGAAGTCGTTGTTGGAGCGGTGGTCAAAGTTCCCACACAGGCCACACACGGTGCCCTGCAAGAGACAAGCATCACAGGGGCTCCAAAAAGGGGCTGGAGGGAGGACAGGGGCTTGTCCTGCAAACACCAGGGCAGGGGGTGGGGGGCTGGCCAGGAGGGGGCAGGGCAGGCAGGGAGGCAGCCCACCTTGTAGGAGGGAGCCAGCTTGATGAACACGGTGGTCCTCTTGTCCCAGATGACGATGATGCCCGTGCTGGACTCCACCACCAGGTACTGGCCCACCTCCCGCGTGGTGTAGGCCACGTGGTGACCCTCATCACGCTGGATCACCACACGGTGCTTGTCTTCCAACTTCAGCTCCGTCCTCTGCCCGGAGGAGAGGCCCAGTCACTGGCTGGTCTGAGGGTCCCGCAGGGCTCACGCGTCCCCAGGGCCAGCAGCACTCACCCCCATGAAGATCTTGATGGCCTTGGAGCAGGTGACGCCCGTAGTGCCACAGGGGACGTTCTCGGTGATGATGCTGAATGAGCCCAGTGAGGAGTTCTGGCCGCAGTAGTCCTGGGGGCCAGGAGGGCAAGGTCAGCCAGGACAGCTGGACCCCAGGTGTCCCGGGGCACACCCGCCCCAGTTGGCAGGGTCACAGCCACTGAGCAGACAAACCAGGCCCTGGCCTGGCCCATCCAAGGACCTGACCCTGCTGCAGGCCTGTCCCCTGTCCCTGGGGATCACGGTGCCTCAAAGGGCTGTGGGATTTGGATCTGGAGAGCCGCGCGGGCAGCGGCCTAGCCCTGGCCTTTACTCAGCTCCCCAAACAGGTGCCCTCAGTCCCCATGGCTGGTGCACCCACCTTGTGCACCCAGAGAAGGACCCAGAGGAGGACCCAAATGAGGACCACAGAGGAGGACCTAGAGGAGGACCCAGAGGAGGGAGGACCCAGAGGAGGGAGGACCCAGAGGAGGACTCAGAGGAGGACCCAGAGGAGGGAGGACCCAGAGGAGGACTCAGAGGAGGACCCAGAGGAGGACCCAGAGGAGGGAGGACCCAGAGGAGGACCTGGAGGAGGACCCAGAGGAGGGAGGACCCAGAGGAGGGAGGACCCAGAGGAGGGAGGATCCAGAGGAGGGAGGATCCAGAGGAGGGAGGACCCAGAGGAGGACCCAGAGGAGAACCACAGAGGAGGACCCACAGGAGAACCCAGAGGAGGACCCAGAGGAGAACCACAGAACTGGGCAGTACAGAGGGGTTTTACCACCCCTACCCAGCCCTGGCTAGAAGAACGAATCCTCCTGCGGGTGCAGGTGCGGGTCTGGGGCTGAGGAAAGGCCGGCCTTCCCAAGTCTCAGGGTTTCTCGGGGAGCTAAGCACTGCACTTGGGGCAGGCAGAGGGTCCCTGACCATAAGCAGCCCGACCAGGCAGTGCCCGTGACCACACCTGAACAGCCACGTAGGAGCAGTGTCCGTCAAAGTCGTAGTACTTCCCATCAAAGGTGATGTAGTGGCCACTCCCGTAAATGGAGCAGGTGCCATGGCACACAGCCTGGGTGCACACCCAGCGTCCTCTCTTGCAGGTGCTGAGGAGGACAGGAGAGGAGCCTGAAGGGACCCAGGACCTGCTCATGGGTGGCTGGAGGAGACCCTGGGCACCGTGCAGACAGCTCCCTGTGCCTCCCACACAGGACACCTGCAGGCCCCAAAAGTGGCTCCAAATGTCCCTTCTCCCATGGCTTCAAGACCAGCAGTTGACATGAGAGACCACCCTGCCCGTGGGACAGGGGCCACCACAGGATCTCGCAAGACCCAGGCGGAACCCCCAGGAGAGGCACTTGCCCCTTGGACCGCTCTCCAGTGGCCACCCCTGCGGAGCACGTGGGGCCTGGGAGGCAGCCAGGACAGGCCGGGCCAGCTTACCAGGTATTGCAGTCCACCTTGATCTTGGCGCCGGAAGAATACAGGTCGTTGTTATGGACGCAAGGGCATTCCTTCTCCACCACGCAGCCACCCCGGCCGTCATCCATCAGCCCGTCGGGGCACACACAGCCACTGACACACTCTGTGTGGTACTGGGGACAGCCAGAGAGTGGGGTTCAGGGGTGGACAGGTGAGGCTGCAGCCCTCCCTGGGGTCAGGATTGGATGTGCAACCAGGAAAGGCCTGACCGTGCAGTCTCTGTCATGTCCCAGACCTCCCACCACTCCCCCTGGCCTGGGCTCAGGCTTCCCTCCCCTTGGGCCCGCCACAGGGCAGTGAGACTGGTGAGGGCTGCCGGCCAAGGGCCCTACACTGGCCCCTGTGCCCCGGTGGCTCACAGGCTGCCACTTCCCTCCCAGGGCCAGGGACAGCATCAACAGGGCCTGCGTCCTCAGGACTCGGCACCCAGACCCTAGCGGGGGCACAGCACAAGAGCCAGGCTCAGCCAGCCAGGAATCCCTGCCCGCCCACAGCAGCGCCCCCAACACGCACATAGCCGGCGGCCAGCGTCTGGCAGCTGAGGGCTCGGGGCTTCGAGGTGGCCAGTGCAGTCAGGTTGCTGCAGTCCATGTGGATCTTTGGGGCCGTGCAGCCTGTGGGACGGAGGGGCCACCTCAGCTCCAGCTGAAGCTGGGGGTCTCAGGCAGGCCCGGGAGGGGTGGCCGGGGAGGGTGGCCAGGGCAGGCAGGGAGGGGTGGCTGGGGAGGGGTGGCCGGGGCAGTGCCACTTACTCTGGCCGATCAGCCGGATCTGCCTACAGTGCAGCCGCCCATCCCGGCACACACTGTGGAAAAGGCCAGGGATGAGCGGGGCCCATGCAGGACGGCCACAGACAGCCCGCAGCTTCCCCGCAGATGTGAGCCTGATGCCTCTCAGCGCCCCCCACCCCAGGCACCCCTCAGCCTTGGGTGTCTCAGCTTCCCCAGGTAGAGACTCCCAGGTCTCCGCTTGGGGCAGGTTCAGAAGGAGCTCCCCCGCCCCCACGCCACACCTGACCCCCGAGCAGGTACCCACCATCGTTCTTCCTGCCTGACGACCACATCCCCCGCCTCCAGGTAGAGACCGCGGTGGTAACAGGAGCACTTGGCCAGGGGTACGCAGCGGCCCTTCTCGTCCAGGAAGGTGTGGTCAGGGCAGCCGCAGCCGTCCACAGGCGCAAAGCCCTCGAGACAGTGGCTGTCGGCCTCGGAGAGGGAGCGGCAGGTCTGCTGGCAGGTGGTCAGGTTGTACAGGAAGACCTGCGAGTTGGGGCAGGAGCCCACATCCTTGTCTGCAGAGGACCACGGGGTGGTGTGAGGGACGGGAAGAGCCAGACGCCCAGCTCCCATCCCCAGGGTGGCCAGGGGGCCAGGGAGTGCACACTCTGGGACCCACTCCCACACTCGGCCGCCACAGCTCCAGGCCCACCCCAGGTTCTGCCCCTGCTACGTGGCCGCCCCTTGCTATAGGAGTTGCTGGTTTCCTGCTACCACCGGCTGACGAAGCTGGAGCCTGGTCCGTGGCTGCAGGGGGCCGACCCCTCTCCCTGGACCACCCGTGCTCAGGGCCCCCAGCCCCGTCCCAGGAGCTCAAAGCCCGGACCCCATCCCCAGGATGCAGCCCACGGGGACGGCACTCACTGCAGACATGCTCCCGCCAGCCCCACAGCATGACGCCCTTGGCGGTGCAGGCGCGCGCGTAGGAGGACAGGGCGGCGCACAGGCAGTCCTCATTGTTCTGACAGTTACACGTGTCATATTTGCACCTCTGGGCGACAGAGCAAGGTGGACGGGCAGTGAGGCAGGGAGGCAGAGTGTGGCCCGGCGCTCACAGATGCAAGCTCACACGCACACACAGCAACCAGTGGGCCCAACCGGGTGCTCTGAGTCCACCTCACGGGTGGCATGGGGGGCTGGGGGTGCCCTGAGTCCACCTCGATGGCATGGGGGCCTGGGGGTGTGGGTCCCACCCACCTTGTAATACTCAGCAGGGTCCACAGCCGAGTGGCACCTGCCAAAGGGGGTCTCTGTCTTCTTCAGGAGGGAGCACCAGTGCTCGGCGTAGTTGGCTGGGGAGTGGGGGATCGGAACTTCAGCGGGGCCCGGGACCCCCGTGAGATCCCCTGGGCCCTGCTGCCTGGCTGCCTAGGCCCCAGATATGGTTCCCTCTGTGCACCGATGCCCAGGCCCCTTCCTCCCCGTGAGTCAAATTTCCAGGCAGCTCCTGGCTAGATAGAAACCCCTGCAGGGCACCCACCACCTCCCGTCTCTCACCCCCAAGGGCCCAGCATCCTGGACATGACGGGGCAGGTAGGGACCAGCCCAGGCCCTCTTCCAGGTCACCTGGCAGGCTGCCACCATGGCCGCCATAAACTAGCCACAGCAGGAAGCAGCAGGGGCCGGGCTGCCCCTGGAGGAGAGCCACCTCACTTCTGCCCCTCACCACCCATGCTTCCTGCTGGGAGCCCCGTCTGCCCTTCCAGGCCATGGGCCGGGTACCCTAGGCACGCTAGGTGGGGGCGCCCGTGTTGCCGAGCCTCACCGCTCTCGATGTTCAGGGAGCAGGGATCGTCCAACCAGTCCAGCTTGTCATGGCAGCTTGACTGTGCCTTCCAGGTGTTGGCAAAGCCGGCCCCCGTGGCCTCCACCAGCCCGCTGGCCGTCTTGAAGTCGTCACCTTCCAGGCCGTTGAAGTTCCCGCAGAGGCCTGAGGGGCCAGGACAGGGTTGGGAAGAGTCTGGGGCTAGCAGGCCCCCCTGTGGGCCTTTGTTGGGGCAACCCCGGTGGGGCCACTTACCCTGCACCTGCCCCTGGGAGGCCTGGTCCAGTGTCACAAAGAGTTGCATGACTGGGGCCAGCTGCACCTGCAGCCGGACGCCAATGGCCATGCTCACCATGATGTGGTAGGAAGACGGGCGGAAGACAGAGAAGCTCGCTGTGGGCAGGGGCACGATGAGGGACACAGTAAGGGGCATGGCGAGGGGCGGGGCTCCCGGGACCTGCCTGGCCCAGGTGAGCAGCGGGAGGGTGTCACCCTCCCACCACCCCCTCCAGCAGAGGACCCAGGACGGAGCCTGCTGGGTGCCGCAGGGACCCTCCCCCCGTGGAACCTTCCCACCCAGCCTCCTGGGTCCGAGGTGGCTGGACTGTCCGAATCACTGCAGGCCCAGTGGAGCTCGAAGGGCCCGGGCCCCTCCCTGGGGCACAACTCACCGGTCACGTGGGGCAGGTTCACCTGCAGCTCGTTGAGCAGTACACTGCCATCGGACTTGAAGACCACCACCTGCAGGGAAGGCCGAGGTTGCTCAGGGCTGAGAAGGGCCCCCCTCGGGGGACCTGGGGCTCCAGAAGGAGGGGGCAGGACCACTCACATTCTTCTTCTTGTCAGCCAGCAGCACCACCGTCTTCAGGCAGGTCTGCTTGTCTGTGGAGCCACAGGGGGCCAGCTCGCCCAGGAGAGCGTAGGAATCGTTGTGGTCACCCTGTGATGGGGCAAGAGGCAGTGCAGCTGCTGAGGGCCGGGACGGGCAGCACCCTGCACCCTAGGACCCGGCAGTGGCTTAGAAAGGAAGGCCTGCTTCTTATTCTCCAGCCAGAGAGCAGAAGCATGGTCACCTGCCCCAGGACAGCCCACAGGCACCCTCTGCTTCAGGGACAGCCAGCCCACCCACCCCGGGACAGCCAAGGGCCTGGATGCCAGCCCCAGCTCTGCCCCATGCCCCAGACCCTGGGCAGCCTACCTTGGCCAGGACATAGTAGCAGTCCCCGTGGAAGGTGTACGTCTTCCCATCGAAGGTGGTGATGTGGGAGCCGCCTTCCAGGGCACAGGTGCCGGGGCAGGGCAGGTCTTTGCACACCCAGCGGCCAGCGTTACAGACACTGTTGGGCAGCGGGGCACAGGGTCAGGGCTCAGCCGCCCCAGCCTCTGCTGTGCCCAGCCCTGGCCCCGGGACTCACCACTGCTCGCAGTCATTGGTGATCTCCTGGCCCGGTGTGTACAGGTGTCCGTGCAGCCTGCAGTGGCACTGGCTCACAGGAACGCAGCCACTGTCCCCGATGTCGTCATATACGGTGCCTGGGACAGCCAGGGAGGCGATGTCACCCCGGCTGGCTCAGAAAGAGCCAGAATCCCCACCGAGGGGCTGCCAGCCAGGCCTCCCACCCGCAGGCACCACTGGTCCCCTGTGCTGACGCCTGCGGTCCCCACCTGGTCCCTGGGTTGGGGTCTGGCCATGGGGGTCCAGCCTCCAGGCCACCTTCCTGCCCCTGACAATCGAGCTGCTCCCAAAGGCCTCAGGCACCAGGCCAGGGGCCGGGCAGGAGGAGGTCTGTCCCCAGGGTGATAACCAGGAAGGCAGCCCCCTTCCCGGCCTCCCTGAAGCCACCCTTTGGGAAGGGCCTCACACCGAGGCCCCTTCTCCCCCGGTATCGGGTGGAGGGAGAGGCACTTCTGTGCCGCCGCTGCCCCCACCACCCAGCGGAGCCGTCCCCTCAGCGCAGGCGAGAACCCCAGGCCAGGGCTGCCTCTCATCTGGTGGGCAGTGCCGGGGCGGGGCCATCCTCCACACGCACCTTCTGGGCAGAAACAGCCGTCCATGCGGTGCTCCTCGCACAGGCTGCTCACCTCCAGGTGTGAGCAGGTGTCCATGCAGGGCGAGCCGCTCTCCAGGTACACCAGGTTCCCGGGGCAGGTCTTGGCTGGAACCGCAGAGGCCACGCAGTGAGGGTGAGGCTGGGGCACAGCAGCCGCTCCACCCCGAAGTGCACCGAGAAGGGCTCTCAGCCCACGGTGAGTGTCCCCCCAGCTCCCGGTGCCCGGCGTGGTGAGTGTCCCCCCAGCTCCCGGTGCCCTCAGTGAGTGTCCCCCCAGCTCCCAGTGCCCGGCGCGGTGAGTGTCCCCCCAGCTCCCGGTGCCCTCAGTGAGTGTCCCCCCAGCTCCCAGTGCCCGGCGCGGTGAGTGTCCCCCCAGCTCCCGGTGCCCTCAGTGAGTGTCCCCCCAGCTCCCGGTGCCCGTGGTGAGTGTCCCCCCAGCTCCCGGTGCCCGTGGTGAGTGTCCCCCCAGCTCCCGGTGCCCGTGGTGAGTGTCCCCCCAGCTCCCGGTGCCCGTGGTGAGTGTCCCCCCAGCTCCCGGTGCCCGTCACAGTGAGTGTCCCCCCAGCTCCCGGTGCCCTCAGTGAGTGTCCCCCCAGCTCCCGGTGCCCGGCACGGTGAGTGTCCCCCCAGCTCAAGGTGCCCGGCACGGTGAGTGTCCCCCCAGCTCCCGGTGCCCGGCACGGTGAGTGTTCCCCCAGCTCAAGGTGCCCGGTGCGGTGAGTGTCCCCCCAGCTCCCGGTGCCCGTGGTGAGTGTCCCCCCAGCTCCCGGTGCCCGTGGTGAGTGTCCCCCCAGCTCCCGGTGCCCGTCACGGTGAGTGTCCCCCCAGCTCCCGGTGCCCTCAGTGAGTGTCCCCCCAGCTCCCAGTGCCCAGCACGGTGAGTGTCCCCCCAGCTCAAGGTGCCCGGCACGGTGAGTGTCCCCCCAGCTCCCGGTGCCCGGCACGGTGAGTGTTCCCCCAGCTCAAGGTGCCCGGTGCGGTGAGTGTCCCCCCAGCTCAAGGTGCCCGGCGCAGACACAGCTCCCACCCGGGCTTGGGGAAAGCACCAGCGTGGGGTCTCCCTGGGGTCCCCTGCCCACAAGGCGCCGGGGCTTACGGCAGAGCGTGGCGGTCCTCCAGTTCCCGGGCCGGCCGCCGGCGTGGGAGCACTGGCGGGAGAACTCGGCCACGGTGCTGCAGACGCAGGTGTCACCGCCCGGGCACCGGCAGCGGTCCTGCTGGCAGGCGCGCAGATACGGCTCCAGCGGCACCAGGTCCTGACAGTCCGCGAAGGCCTCGGCGGTCAGCAGCCTCTCACACTCGGCGCGCTGGGGACAGACGCAGGGTGAGCATGCTATTCAGAGGCCAGCTCCGCCAGGACCCCCACCCCAGACCGAGGGGACTCACGTGCTCGGAGCAGGATGCGGGGGCCACCTCCTCCTCGGGATCCTCACACACCACATCGGGCTGGTTGATCTTCTGCATGTTCCCAAACTCCAGGGGACTGAAGAGCACGCCTGGGGATGCACGGCCCTTCAGCTAGGGCTCCTGGGGGCCCGTAGCCTACCCTGCCCCCTCCAAGCCCTCCGGGCCTCACCGTCAGAGAGGAATTCTGAATAGCTCTGCAGGCCGTTGTAGTCCCCGCAGAGGCCACAGGTGTGGTTCCGGAACTTAGTGTCCAGCTCCAGCTGTTGCGGGAGGGAGCAGGTGAGCTGGCCTCCCGCCCGGCCCACAGCCGCCAGGAACCCCCAAGACTCGTGGCTTGTTTGAGCCAGAGGAAGGTGGGGCAGGAAGGCTGGGGTCAGCAGCCAGGGAGCGGCCTGGCAGGGCAGGTCCCTGAGAAGCCGAGTGCGTTTGGGGGAAGGCTGAGGCCTGGGGGGGTCAGGGCCAGGTCGGCTTCTGCTGCTGCCCCCCAAGTCCAGCACCGACGCCCCGCGCTGCCGAGGCCCTGCCCCACCCATGCCCTCTCGGTGAGGGGTCAGAGCACTGCCCTCCCTGCCCTCCCTTGGGGTCTGCCCAGAGGCCTGACGGAGCCCCCACCAGCCCCACGAGTCCGGGGACCCCTGAGCACCATGAGTGCATCCTCCCGGTTCCACATGAGGGTGAGGCCGGCGCGGGAGTAGACTTTGGTGTAGGCATCGCTCTTCTCAATGAGCAGCCCGGGGCTGTAGTGCGGGGTGCTGACCCTGGCGGAGGCACATCGGGGTCACTCTTGGGTCCACCACCCAGGCCCCCCCGCCCCAGCTTGTCCTCCCGGGACCCCGCCGCCCAGAGGGGACTGAAGCTGGGCGCCTGGGGTGGTGGAGATGGCTCTGCCAGGCCCAGCTCCTGCCCTGGGGTCACCAACTTGGCCGGCCTCTGGGGTGGAGGGACATAGGCAGTGGCCAAAGAGCACCTGTCCATCTCCGCTGGCCGGGCTTCCCCGGCAGAGCCACCTCCTGCCTGCACGCCCCTCCTCTCCACTCCCTCCTCGGGGCACGGTCCTGGGCAGGGTCCCCCCTCAGAGGCCCTGAGGGCACCAGGTTGGGAGAGGAGGGAGGACCAGGCTGCCCAGCCCCCTTCCAGGCCCCCTGCTTGGTGGAACATCCCCCCATGGGGTCCCAAACCCCCCAGAGCCCCCCAGGCTGCCCCTGAGACTGTCAGGGGCCCTACCCCACCTCCTGCCAGTGCCCCTTGCTGGTCCAGGTAGAGGCACTCACCCCAGCCTCTGTGCCTCGGTCCTCAAGGGCCTCTACCTGCCTGCCCATGCCTGAAAGCCTCTACCCACCCACCTGCCAACACCCATGCCTGAGGGCCCCTACCCACCCACCCGCCTGCGCCCATGCCTGAGGGCCTCTACCCACCCACCTGTGCCATGCCTGAGGGCCTCTACCCACCCACCCACCTGCGCCCACACCTGAGGACCTCTACCCACCCGCCCGCACCTACGCCTGACGGCCTCTATCCACCCACCCGCGCCCACGCCTGAGGGCCTCTACCCACCCACCCGCCCGCACCCATGCCTGAGGGCCTCTACCCACCCACCCGCGCCCACACCTGACGGCCTCTACCCACCCACCTGCCCATGCCCACACCTGAGGACCTCTACCCACCCGCCTGCACCCATGCCTGACGGCTTCTATCCACCCACCCGCCCGCACTCACGCCTGAGGGCCTCTACCCACCCACCCGCCCGCGCCCATGCCTGAGGGCCTCTACCCACCCACCCACGCCCACACCTGATGGCCTCTACCCACCCGCCCGCCCATGCCCATGCCTGAGGGCCTCTACCCACCTGCCTGCACCCACGCCTGAGGGCCTCTACCCACCCGCCTGCCCATGCCCATGCCTGAGGGCCTCCACCCGCCTGCCCATGCCCATGCTGGGGCCCCTTGCAGGAAACTAAATCCCCAGGCAGAAGAGGGGCAGGCGCTGGATGGGAACGCACTTACAGGGCCTCATTGTTCTGGAGACAATAGGGGAGCAATAGCTGGGGATGGGGAAGGGGGTCCCACAGCCCCCTGCACCGGCTTCTGTAACTCTAGCCTGGGGAGGGCACACACGGCCACTCCATGCACAGGACCAGAGACATGCAGCCTCCAGGGGTGCCAAGTCTGTCCGGAGCCTGGTGGGCTCCGAGGGGAGGGGCTGTCAGGGACACACAGGCAAAGGGATAACTGAAACCCCTTGCCTATGGGGGGAATGGTGGGGGCTCATCAGTGTTTGTTGAATGAATTAGTGACCTGAACCCAAACCTCAAGGCTGTTCTCCTGAGCTGTGTGCTGGGGCGGAAGGGGTCTTCTAGGGCTACAAGGAATATCCCTTTGGGAAACATCAGCCCCCGTTGCTAGGATGTGGGAGGGGTGCCACCGACCACACTCACACGGCCCCGTTAAGCACAGCCAGGTGGCGGGTGAGGTAGATGGTGTCATCCTTGATGGTCAGCAGGATGGACTCCACCCCGGCGGGGGCCTCAGCCTGGCCCGGACCCCGCTTCAGGTGCACAGCAAATTCCTTGTAGGAGCCTCGGCAGTCGGAGGCGAAGTTGTAGTCGCAGAGGCCGGGGAAGCGGAAGACGTCCCCGTCGAAGGTCTTGTAGTGGAAGTTGCCCCAGGTGCTGCAGACGTTGTGGCCGTGGTTTCGGGTTCTGCCCTCTGAGGGAGCAGCGGGGAATGAGGGGTGAGTGGCCCCGGAGGGGGAAGGCTGCCCAAGCTACCCTCGAGAGAAGGCCCCTGAAGAAGCACCTGGAAGCAGCTTCGAGCCCAGCACAGGGCCCCTGGCCGGGAAAGGTTCCTTCCTATCCTCGGGCCCTCTGCTGGGCCTTGGTCACCCCACCACAGGGGTCTCAGGGCTTCTACCCCCGGCCTGGTGAGGAGTGCGGCCGGGTGCCAAGCGGGATGTAGGAGAGGGCATTCTGGGCACCCCGCTCCCCAGCAAGGGCTGTGCTGCCCCAACTCTTCAAGGGTCTCTGCCACCTGAGAATGGGGCCTTCTGGTGGGATCCTGGCCACCCCTTCCTCCCCTATGGACAATGACCCAGTTCACTGGGGCCTGACCTGCTGTTTCCACCTGGTGCTGGCCCCAAGACCCACACTGTCGTCGGGCAGTCAACCCCAAAGGAATAGCAGGGGAGCCCCGACCTTCCAGCTCCTTGAAAGTCAGCAGGGCCGGGGGCTTCCAGGGACCAACCCGGGCCAGGAGCCTCAGCAGAGCCGCGCAGGCTGCACTCTGGGACCAGCTCCTCCTCCCAGACGCGACTTGCCCGCCCGCCTCGCCCTGCCCCCAGGACACTCTGCCAGGCCCCAGACCCCTGTGTCTGCTCTCTCACCTGTCTGGAGCTCCGAGCCCCCTGCCAAAGACAGGGCCAGGCACACAGCCGCCAGGCGGGCTAGTGGCAGCCCCATGGTGGCTGGCAGGGGCGGTGTGGGTTGCGCCCGGGGGCAGGGGTCTGGTCCTTATATGTCCTGGCAGGAGGGTAGGAGGGCAGGAAGGCAGGGGAGGGCCAAGGGTGGGTGTGGCATCTGCCAGATGATCAAGAAGACAGCTGCGGGGGCCCGAGCCCCAATGGGGAAATATTGATTCAGGTTATCGGAGGTCATCTCTTTATGGCTCCCTGGGTAAACGCAGCCTTCTTCAGGATGAGGCAGCCCTGTAGCCTGAATGCCAACACACACCCGGGGAACACATGCAGCTACTAGAGGGGCGAGCCCAGGGTGGCCGGGGGAGGGGTGTCCTGCCAGAAGCAAGTCTGGTCAGGCTCCTTAGCCCGCCATGGGCCCCCAGACACCCGCTGAGCAGGTCCCCAGGCCTGATCAGGCTCACGTTACGCTGGGAGGACCAACCCATTCCTGGGGCCCAAGCTCTGGGGCAGCTTCCAGGCCTGACCCCAGAAAGGGGCCTCCCCGAGGGCAGGGAGGATGTGGGATCCTTCAGGGTCCGGGGGGGCCACTGACTTGTGTGGGACTCTTGGCCGGGCTCATGGAGCTGTGTCAGAGGCCCCAGCCCCCAACCACCCCCTATGCCCATCCTTTTCCCAGGCTGAGCCCTTCTCTGCAGTTACATGTAATTAGAACTTGGGGAGTACATGCCCAGCCAGGGGACATGTTACGGAATCAGGCACACAGGGAGCTGGCTGGTGGCCGGAAGTGGCCGTCTGCCCCTTCTCCTGGGGACCACATGAGGACCTCGGGCCTGACAGCTGAGGAGGTGACAGCCTGCCCAGGCTCCCCAGAACTACCTCTGACTCATGGTGGGGATCCTGCCCCCAAGGCTGTGCCTTTGATGAGCCTTGGTCTCGCCCACCAATCCCAGCAGTTGTCTGGAAAAAAGCCTGGAGAACCGGAACTCACACCGACCCCAGACTACGAGACCACTGGGCCCACCACTGCTTGCCCCGGCCCGGGAGGGCACAGGCAGGCACCCCTGTGTCGCCAGTGGGTAAACTGAGGTCTGGGGGCCCTCCCCTCTCTCTACAATTTTCTCCTCCTGAAAATAGAGAGGGGCCCTGAGTTGAGTTCCTGGCTTTGGCCTGAACATGCCAGGGACATGCCGGCAGCATGATGGCAGTGGGGAGGGACTCACCCCAACAGTTATAGAGACTCGGGGCCCAAAGCACCAAGCCTGTTTCCCTGGCTGACCTGCTGCCCAGACCCAGGGCCTGGGACGAAGCCCCTCCCGCCCTCCTGCGGTGCCCGCCAGCACCAGGCCCCAGGGTCTGCGCTCCCTGCCAGGACCTGGGCACGTGGAGGAAGCTCAGTGTGTGGCCCCTGCCAGGAGGACCGGGGATTAGGAAACCAGAGCCAGCTGGGCGAGGCCAGAGGAGATCATTGTTCACTTCCTGGTGTGGGCCTCCGCACACTGGCACTGAGCCCTGGGGAAACCCAAGGACGGCCCCAACTGCAGTCCCCTGACCCTGACATGCCCCAGGCGGGCCTCAGGACAGAGATTTTCCAGGCCAGGCTCCCCCTGCCCTGGGGGGATTGGAGGAATCCTAGCGGAGCACAAGCTGCCCAGCACAGCCCCTCCAGCCCTGAAGCCTGAGGTAGGTCCCCTAGATCTGACCCTGTGTCCCCTCTGGACGGGCAGTGGTGGTTCCCAGGCTCAGGGGTCTGACCCCAACACCCCTCTTGGCCCATGGCAAGGTCCCAGGTAGGAGCCCTGTCTGAGGTTACAGGCAGCCCTGCATGGGGCAGGGTGCAGAGAGCTGAACCCCATTCCTAACGGGGAAAGGGAGCTGTTCTGGGGAAGAGGACAGTGAGGGCTCCATCAGGCCGGGGCGACTATGGAGTCACTGGCACCCCCAAAGCGAGAGTGTCCCCAGCCTCTTTGCCTCCAAGCCTCAGCCGGTCCCCACTGCCAGATTCGCAGCATCTACTGTGGTGGTGGAGGCGATGGGGGCCAGGCAGTTCCACAGCACTGCATCCCCTCTCTCCCCACGTCCTGTGTTGGTCCAAATGTGGCCCCCATTGCTGGTTACTGAAATGTCGGCCTCCAGCAAGTGCAGAGTGGGAGAGTGGGCAGCCGTATTGCCCTGGGACCCCATCGCCACTCTGTGGCTTTCCCATGGGGTTCGAGGGACCCTGGTGGAGGGAGAGAGTGGGGGCTTTGACCACTCCGAGGAAAATGCTTGTCGGTTCTGCTTTCTGTGACAAGAACATGATGGCAGTGGTGGGAATGACCACCCACCCAACGGCGGGCCGGACACAGTTGAGCCAGGAGCCCACATCCCCAGCCCCATGTCAGGCTGCCCCAGCCTCAGGCCCCGGCTGGGACTCAGAACGAGGCTGCATGGAGTACAGCCTCCCACACAGACAGCATCCTGGAGTACAGCCTCCCACACAGACAGCATCCTGGAGTACAGCTTCCCACACAGACAGCATCCTGGCCCCCCCAGCCTCTCCCCACCCTGCCCACGCCCAACATGTTTACCGTGACAAGACACTGTTGCCAACGGCTGCATGGAATTTGCAGTAGTGACTGCAGGGAGGAGGCAGCACTGACGTCACATGGCACCTGAAGTGACGGCCCCCCTACTGTGTATCCACAAACCTGACTCACCAGGAAGCCCGGGTGAGGGGCATGTGGGGGTCAGAGCCACCGGAGGAAGAGGGAGAGGGAAAGGAGGAGGAGGAAGGGGAAGGGGAAGAGGAGGCTGGGGAGGGGGCGAGAAGAGAGAACCCCTATGCTGCTGGGGGAGCCAAAGACAGCAGGTGCGTCCCCTGCACACGTCCCGGTCGCTCGAACGGTGGCTTTGTGAGTCGGCCTGTCTGGCCATGGCTCCAGTCTTTGGCATGGCGCCGGGCTGGATGCTGCTGTGAAGGGACTTCTTAAATGTGACCCTGGCGAAGCAGGTGGGTCTGACACAATCAGTGCAGGGCCTTGAAAGAAAAGACCTTGGTCCTCCAAGGAGCAGGACGTGCTGCCTCCAGGACGTGCTGCCTCCTGATGGCCTCCGGGGGTCTCCAGCCTGAGGCCCACCCTAGGCTGCCTGAAGTAATGGCCCATGCCCCACTGATTGCTTCCCTGGAGTATCACCACCCACCCCCGCAAGCACTCCCCATGTGGCCAATACCTCTCCCACGGGGGCGGGAGACCAGTCACAGAGCCTGCTTTCCTGGAGAGCACTCCACCCGCCCACACCGCAGCCCTAGGTATCCCCACGTGGCAGCCCCTGTCTCCCTACATCCTGTGTTGGTCCAAACGTGGCCCCCATTGCTGATTACTGAAATGTCGGCCTCCAGCAAGTGCAGGCTGCCCACATGTCAGTCACATGTGTCATCTGGGGCCATTTTTCCATGTCCCTATGTGGTTGGTCTGATTATTAGCTCACATTACAGAAGGGGAAACTGAGTCACCGAGCATCTTGTGTCTCCATCTCAAGGCCAGCATCTCAGGACACAAGAGGCCAGGCTGGCCCACACCCATTCTGCAGGCCAGAGCCATCCTGCCACAGCCAACCCTGCCAGCACCAGGCTGCCCAGCCCCCAGCCAACTGGGCTTAACCAGGGTGGTGGGGGCTGGCACCCAACCCCAGCGCCACAGCTCTGGCCCTGCCTTGGTGGGCAGATGGAGAGCACACCCAGAGAAGCCGTGGTTCTCAGCCCTCTGGACACCAAGGAGGACCCCAGCTCCAACCCCAGCCCCACACAGGGACACAGTGGCAAGGCCCAGACCTACACCCTGGCAGGTGAGCATCTGAGGATTCAAGGGAGGGCAAATAAAACACCAGTCACGTCCAGCTCTCCAGGGCAGACTCAGACACCCCAAGCATGTCCACTTTCTGGGGCTCCAAAGGTTCGGAGACACCTGGAGGTGTGCACTTCACCTCCCAAGGACTGCAGAGGTGAAAGGCGGGATGTTGGTGCCACTGCTCTGTGAGGTGTGGAGGGTGAGCAAGTGAGCACACAGAGGCGTTTGTTCTCAGGTGAGGGATCAAGAGAGGCCTCAACCAGTCCAGGCCTCTGCTGGGCAGGCGGGCACTGGGCAGGCTCCATTGAGGAAAGGGCAGCCCAGGGCCAGGGCCATCAGGTGGATAGCTGTGCTTCAGGAGTCCAGACACCCTGGGGCACTTGCCCCTCAAGACTTGGTCCAGGTGTCACATCCTCACACTGAACACTGTTCTCACCACCCTGGCCACACTGTGTGACCCTTGCTGGCCATCCTGCTCCGAATGCTGCAAGGGCAGCAGCCCATGTGGGCCCCCCATGGCCACCCTCACAGCAGATGCACTCAATAACTTTGCTTCTGGGTGGGTGGGTGGGTGGGTGGGTGGGTGGGTGGGTGGATGGATGGATGGATGGATGGATGGGAGGAAGGGAGGGGGAATGAATGGGTCAGCAGGTGGATGGATGGATGGATGGATAGATGGACGGATGGGAAGCAGGGAGGGGAAATGAATGGGTCAGTGGGTAGATGGATGGGATGGATGGATGGATGG
Organism: Homo sapiens; assembly: GCF_000001405.40. Lineage (NCBI taxonomy): Eukaryota > Metazoa > Chordata > Mammalia > Primates > Hominidae > Homo > Homo sapiens. Next base: position 144,762 of record NT_187681.1, on the reverse strand, counting down.
ATGGATGGATGGATGGATGGATGAATAGATCAATAAATGAGTGGGTAAATGAGTGGACGGATGGATGAATGGGTGGTTGGCTGGGTGAATGAGTGGATAAATGGAGGGAGGGAGGGACAGATCGTTAGATGGATGGATGAATGGGTGGGTGGGTGGATGGATGGATGAATGGGTGAATGAAAGGATGGATGGATGGGAGGGAGGGAGGGAAGGATGGATGAATGGGTCAGTGGGTGGGTAGATGGATGGGATGGATGGATGGGTGGATGGGTGAGTGGATGGATGGATGGATGGATGGATGGATGGAAGGGATGGATGAATGGGTCAGGGATGGATGGATGGGAGGGAGGGATGGATGAATGGGTGGGTGGATGGATGGATAGATGAATGGGTGGGTGAGTGGATGGATGGATGGATGGATGAGTGGATGAATGGGTGAATGGAAGGATGGATGGATAGATGGATGGATGGATGGATGGATAGATGGGTTAGTGAATGGATAGGTGGATGGATGGAGGCATGGATGAATGGAGGGATGGATGTGTGGATGGGTCAAAGAATGGATGGATGAAAGGATGGATGGATAGATGGATATGTGAGTGAGTGACTGGATAGGTGGATGGATGAATGGAGAGATGGATGAGTGGATGAGTGGATGGATGGATGGATGGATGGATGGATGGATGGATGGACAAATGGACAGATAGATGGATGAGTGGGTGGGTGGATGGGTGGGTGGGTGGGTGGATGATGGATTAATCGGTGGGTGGGTGGGTAAAAGGATGGACAAATGAAATCTCCCTGGTACTGGAGTTCACCTTCTGTGGCAGCTCCACAGGGCTCCACCTCACAAGAGCTCATGATGAGCAAGTACAGGCCAACTGCTCTATAGGCCCACCTCACTGGAGCCCTCAACCCTGGGAGGAAGGCACTCACCTCACTCCATCCTATAGACAAGGAAACTGAGACTCAGAGAGGGTGAAAGCACTCCTTCGGCTCACCCAGCCCAAGAATGGCAGAGCTGCAATGTGGTCCCAGAGAATCTTCCCAGCCCCAAACTTACACTGTCCACCGCTTGATAATGGTGTGGCCACTTTTTGCAAAGGAGACTGTTGCTTTTTGGAGAAACCCCAGTCATAAGTAACAGAAAGATCAGGGGTTCCTGGGTGGTGTCGTAGCCCCAGGGCAGGAATCTCAGTGCCCCCTTGCTCCTTGCCGAAGTGCCCAAAGGTCAGGGCCCTTCAACATCCCTCCACCCCCGCCCCCTTCTGTGAGTTTATTTCATGCATTTGAAATACAGTTGGATTGTTTTGCCACATTCCGCATTTCATCTGTGGCATCCCTCAACCTCCTGAATATTTTTATGTTTGTGTACATCAAGGTTCACTCTTTGCACTATTAAGTTTTCTGGGTTTTGCAAATGTAGAGTGTCAAATATCCACCAGGATAGTAGCATGCAAAATGGTTGTACCACCCTAACACATGCCCTGTGTCTCAGCTATTCCATCCTTCCCCACAAATCCCTGGCAAGCACTGGTCATTTTTTACTGTCACTATAGTTTGGGCTCTAATATATTTCTCTGATTAATTTTAAATCTCTAAGAGCCAAACAACTCTAGAATAACATGCATCCACTATAAATTATGACTAGGATTTTATGTGGCAACAAGGAAAACACTTAGGATTTACTGGTCAGGAAAGTGCGTTGACACAGGCTAAAACAGCTTAACTGAGTTAGAATTGACATACAATAAACCGCACATGTTTACGTGTATGATTGGGTCAGTTTTGACATAAATTGGTTGAACTTGGGAAACCACCACCCCAATCAGGATGAATATGTCCCCACCCATCACCCACACAGGGCTCCTTACACCTCTTTGGAATCTCTCCCTCCCACCCTTCCCCACTCGGGAGCTACCCAGGGTTTCTTTTCCATGGCATTTGTTTGCATTTTCTAGGACTTTGCAGATTTGTTTGCATTTTCTAGGATTCTGTGTAAATGGAACTATACAGTATGCATTCTTCGGTCTCTTTCACTAAGCATAATTATGTTGAGATTGCATCCAGCATTGCTGTGTAAATAGCTCATTCCTTCCTGGGCTCATTCATTCCCTGCTAATGGACACTGGGCTCATTGTCCATTTGAGGCCACTACGAACAAAACTGCTTCGAACATTTGTGTAATCTTAGTGTGGACATACACTTTCTTTTCTGCCAGGTAAATACCTAGGAGTGGAGTATCTGGATCAGACAGGTAGGTCTATGTTCAACTTTTTGAGAAATCGCTAAACTGCTTTCCAAAGTGGTTGTACCTTTCTACATTCCCACCGGCAGTGTATGAGACATCCGTTACCCCACAGCCTTGTCAACACTTGGGATGGTCAGTCTTTTTAATTTTAGCCGCTCCAGTAAGTGTGTGATGTTGTCTCATTATTACTTGAAATTGTATTTCACTAATGACTAATGATGTTAAGAATTTTTTTATACACTTATCTGCCATCCATATGTCTTCTTTTTTTCACTTTTTAAAAAACTTTATTTTAGACCAGGCACAGTGGCTTATACCTGTAATCCCAGCACTTTGGGAGGCCAAGGCAGGCGGATCACCTGAGGTCAGGAGTTTGAGATGAACCTGGCCAACATGATGAAACCCCATCCCTACTAAAAATACAAAAATTAGCCAGGCGTGGTGGCGCACCTGTAATCCCAGCTACTTGGGAGGCTGAGGCAGGAGAATCAGTGGAACCCGGGAGGCAGACGTTGCAGTGAGCCAAGATCGTGCTGCTGCACTCAAGCCTGGGCAACAGAGTGAGACTGTCTCAAAAAAAAAATTATTTTAAAAACCCCTATTATATAGTTTTGCTTTTTCAACAAATACTGGGTGCTGTGTTTAAATATTAAATCCATTATAGAGAAATCTTTGGTAATGTACTTGTGACTAGTATAGCAATTCCTGTCAAAGCACTTTCTCCTCACATCCTTGTGTGACTGTTTAACTTAGGATATCTAATTTCTTACAAAAAAAAAAGTCAGTTTACTCCCAGGCTTATAAGCCCCATATGTCTTCTTTAGTGAAACGCCTACTCAAATCTTTTGCCCATTATTTATTGGGTTATTGGGGTGGGTTTCTTTTTAAGATCTAAACATTATTTATGTATTCTAGATACGAGTCCTTTATTGGAGAGATCCTTTGTAGATATATTTCTCCCAGTCTGTGGCTTGTCTTTTCATTCTCTCAATAGTGTTTTTTAAAGTAGGAGTTTCAAAATTTTGATAAAATCCAATTGATCAATTTACTTTTTTATAAATTTTGCCTTTGGTATTACATGTAGGAAATCTTTGCCTAACCCAAGATCACACAAATATTTTCCCCTATGTTTTCTTTTAGAAATTTTATAGTTTGGGGTTTTCCATGATGCATTTTGAGTTAATTTTTTATATGTAGTATGAGGTATGGCTTGAAGTTTGTCTTATTATGTATGGATATCCAATTGTTCTAGCCCCATTTGTTGACAAGACTATTCTTTCTTCATTGCAGTACTTCTGCTCCTTTGTTGAAAATTCAATTAGCCAGGTGGGGTGGCATGTGCCTATATGGCTACTGGGGAGGCTGAGATGGGAGGATCACTTGAGCCCAGGGTGTAGAGGTTGCAGTGAGCTGAGATCATGCCACTGCACTCCAGCCTGGGTGACAGAGTCAGACCCTGTCTCAAAAAAAAATTTTTTTAAAGAAAAAATAATTATTGTTTATATACACATGAATTTGTTTCTGGACTTTACTCTGTTCATTGACCTATTTGTCTGTCATTATGCTAATGCTGCACTGTTTTGATTATTGTAGCTTTGTAACAGTTCTCAATCCCAGCCAATGTTTCAGTTTCCTCCAACTTTGCCCCTTTTTCAGGACTGCGTTGGCTCTTCTATGTCCTCTGCATTTCCCTCTGAATTTAGTCTCAATTTGTCAGTTTCTACCAAAAAAAAAAAAGCCTGCAGGGATTTTGACTGAAATTGCATTAAATATATTTATCAGTTTAGAAAGAACTTACGTCCTAGCAATATGGAGTCTTCCAGCCCATGGACAAGGTGTACATACCTGTTTCTGCAGGTCTCTAATTTCCCTCCCAATGGTTTACAGTTTTCAGCGTACTCGTCTTTCACATCCTTTGTCAGATTTTTCCCTAAGTATTTCATATTTTTGTACCGTTATAATGATATTGTTTGTTCCCATTTCCAATTATTTATTGCTAATATAGAGAGATACAATTGATTTTTTGGGACTTTTTATTATGGAAAGATACACATAACAGAATTTCTCATCTTACGCAGTCTTAAGTGCGTGGCTCAGTGGTATTGACTATGTCACCATGCTGTGCAGCCATCACCAGCATTCAGCTCCAGAACACCTTCATTTTTCTTAAACTGAAACTCTGCTCCCACTAAACACACCCTCCGCTCTCCCCCAGCCTCAGGTAGCCACCATTCTGCTTTCTGTTGCTATGAATCTGACAACTTGAGATACCTCAAATAAGTGGAATGATACCGTGTTGGTCTTTTTGTGTCTGGCTTATTTCACTCGGCCTCATGTCATCTATGTATTGTAGCCTGTGTCAGAATTTCCTTCCTTCCTTTTCAAGGCAGAATAATATTCCACTGTAAGGACAGACCACATTCTGTTTATCCCTTCATCTGTCAAGGGGCACTTGGGTGGCTTCAACTGCTGTGAACATGAGTGTGCAAATATCTTTTCAAGACCTGCTTTTAATTTTTTTTTTTTTTTGAGATGGAGTCTTGCTTTATCACCCAGGCTGGAGTGCAATGGTACAATCTTGGCTCACTGCAACCTCCACCTCCCAGGTTCAAGTGATTCTCCTGCCTCAGCCTCCCAAGTAGCTGGGATTACAGGCGCCCACCACCACACCCAGCTACTTTTTGTATTTTTAGTAGAGACAGGGTTTTGCTGTGTTGACCAGGCTGGTCTTGAACTCCTGACCTCAGGTGATCTGCCCACCTCAGCCTCCCAAAGTGCTGGGATTACAGGCATGAGCCACCGCACCCTGCCTCAGCCACAAGAGTAGCTGGGATTACAGGCACACACCACCATGCCTGGCTAAATTTTTTTTGTATTTTTAATAAAGACAGGGGTTTGCTATGTTGGCCAGGCTGGTCTCAAACTCCCGACCTCAAATGATCCACCTGCCTCGGCCTCCCAAAGTGCTGGGATTACAGGCGTAAGCCACTGACCCTGGCCCCTAATAGAAATTTTAACATGATATAAAGATGATTTAAAGTATACGGGAGGATGTGGTCAGGCGTGGTGGCTCATGCCTGTAATCCCAGCACTTTGGGAGGCCGAGGCGGGTGGATCACCTGAGGTCAGGAGTTCGAGACCAGTCTAGCCAACATGGTGAAACCCTGTCTCTACTAAAAATACAAAAATTAGCCAGGGGTGGTGGCAGTTGCCTGTAGTCCCAGCTACTCGGGAGGCTGAGGCAGGAGAATTGCTTGAACCCAGGAGGCAGAGGTTGCAGTGAGCCTAGATCACACCACTGCACTCCAGCTTGGGTGATAGAGAGAGGTTCTGTCTTAAAAAAATAAATAAATAAATAAAGTACATGGGAAGATGTATGTAGATTATATGCAAAGACTATGCCATTTTATGTAGAGGATTAGCGCACGCATACATTTTGTGTCCTAGGGGTGCTGGCACCCATGCCCCGTGGATATCAAGGGACAACTGCCGCTGCCTTTTATAGATACTCGATTATGCACAGATGATCACATCATCTGTCACAGTTTCACTCCCCCTTCCAATCTAGATCTTTTAAGTGTATTCACCTTCCCGATTGCCTGGCTGTGCTTTCCAGCACCATGTTCATTAGAAGTGGTGAGAGCAGGTATCTTGGTCTTGTTCCTGATTTCAGGGGAAAGCATTAGTGTTTAAGTATGATGTCATCTGCAGGCTTTTTATAAATGCCATTATGAGGATGAGGAAGTTATATTCTATTTTTAGGAGAGTTCTTATCAGGAGTGGGTGTTGAATCTGGTCAAGTGCGTTCTTCTGAATTGACTGAGATGATCCTATGATTGGTCATCTTTAGTCTGTTCACATGATGAATTACATTGATTTTGAATGTTAGACCAACTCTGGATTCTTGGAATAAATCCCCTGTGGTTATAGTTTTAATAAATTTTTTGATTCGATTTGAAAAAATCTTGTTTAGAATGAGAACACGTGGATACAGGGAGGGGAACAACACACACTGGGGCCTGGTGGGGGGTGGGAGGTGAGGGGAGGGAGAGCATCAGGACAAATAGGTAATGCATGTGGGGCTTAATACCTAGGTGATGGGTTGACAGGTGCAGCAAACCACCATGACACACGTTTACCTATGTAACAAACCTGCACGTTCTACACATGCATCCCAGGACTTAAAGTAAAATATTTTTTTAATTTGTTTAGAATTTTTACATCTGTGTTTATGAGGGATGTTGGTTCATAGCCTTCTTTTTTTTTTTTCCAGAAATATGGACACTTTATTTATGTGAAAGAGTCAGGAGAAGAACTGGCCACAGTGGTAAAGTACATTATCAAAATAACCAGGAAACATAGGACAAAGAATAGCAGGAAATAGTATACCGTGTGTTTATTAAGTTGGGTTGTAAATAAGAGGGATAGGAAAGCCCCTTCCCACACTCTTTTCCCGATGATCTCATTTCCAACACCTTCATAAGCCCCTTCTTTCATTTGATACACAGTCTTTCATTTGAAAGCAGTCTAACATGTTAATGTGTCAGATAAAGCTTGTATCTAAAGACTGCTTTCAAAGGAAAGGTTCATAGTCTTCTTATAATGTTTTTATGTGGTTTTGAAATCGGGGTAATACTGGCCTCAGAGGAAGAGTTGAAGGTGTTCCTCTCTTTTCAGTTATTGTTGGAAGGGTTTGTGCAGAGTTGACATACTTCTTTCTTAAATCTTTGGTAGAATTCACCAGTGAAACCATCTGGGCCTGGGGTTTTCTTTGCAGGAAGGCTTTGTTGTGTTTTATTTACAATTCAATTCCTTTAACATATAGGGCCATTCAAGTTATTTCTGCCCAAGTGATCTTCGATTCATCCTGTGTCCAAGGAGTTTGTCCTTTTCATCCGGGCTGCCAAATGTTTCGACTTGAAGTAGTTCATGATGTCCCCCTATTATCTTTGTAATATGTGTAGAATCCACAGTGGCGTCACCTGTCTTGTTCCTAACATTGGTAATTTGTCTGTTTTCTCTTTTATTCTCCAGCCTGGCTAGGGGTTTATCCGTCTAATTGATCTTCTCAAAGAACCAGCTTTTGGTTTTGTTGACTTTTCTCTAGTGTTTCATTTTGTTGTTTTATTGATGATTTTGCTTTTCCTGCTCACGTTGGGCTTAATTTGCTCTTCTCTTTCTTTCCTAATTTCTTACGGTAGAGAGACCATTGATTTGAGGCTTTCCTTCTTTTCCCATGTAGGAGTGGAACGTGGTGGATTTTCCCTACATGCGGCTTTGGCTAAACCGCACGTTCCCCTCCCTCCTGAGGGTCTGTCTCCTCATCCACCCGCTAGTGCATCTCCAGCTTCTGTACCTCAGACTCACCTTGAAAGTCCACTTGACATCCATCACTGTGCAGTCAGTCAGGAAAAGGAAGCCACACTCGTTATTTCAAACAGAAGGAAGTTAATACAGAGAACTGGTTACACAGGTGCTGGAGGCTGGAAGAGAAGACGGGCACCGAGGCACCTGACGTTGTGAACAGCAGGAAGCAGCTTCCACTCCCAGGGCTGGGGGAACAAATGAAAGAGGTTGGGCTGCCAGAACCCAGGAGCACAGAGAAAGGATGGAGTGGCAGAGCCAGTATTGGGAGTGCCAAAAGAAGTGGTGGGCTGGAGTAGCCACCCCCCTCTATGGCTGGAGGGCCCTGAAAGAAGCTGGTGAAGGAACAGAAATCTCCTCTCCTCACCTCCCACCAGTGCCTTCCAGGAAGACATCTGGTCAAAGAGCCTGAAAATACAGTGTGCACAATCCCAGCCGCATGTATCAGTCAGCTATTGCTGCATAACAAAGCACCCAAAAACCAAGGGCTTACAACAATGTGTTTCATGGATGATAGACGGATAGAGAGATAGAAGAGATAGGTAGAAATGTGTGTGCGCACGTGTGTGTGTGTGTGTGTGTGTGTGTGAATGTGTGTGTGTATGGATTAGGGTATATACAGATGCTTTCTAGTATTCTCCCCTGAGAAGGTCTACCAAAAAAAAATGACACCCCAGTAGTAACTACCACACCCAATGTCCAGATCTTGGTTTCTAAATACCATTTTCCAATTAAAAGAATCAGGACTCCTTAGAGAAGTAGCTGGGTCTCTGGGGAAGGAAATTACAAGATAAACCTGGAGCATTTTATGGTGCCAGAAAGTGAGGAAGGGCTCAAAAACAGATAGGGTGAAAGCACACAGGAGCCACTGTGAAGGGGCTGCCATGGCCAACACTGGAACAATTTGAGAAACAAAATAAAGATAATGTTGGATTATAACCCAAATAATAAAATAAGTATCTACAAACCCATAGTGAAGTAAATAACTGCACAAACAAATAAGAAGAAACAGCTTATTTTAATAGAATTCCAGTTACTTAATGCAGAAGAAATGAAGTAAATAGAAAATCACCATCAGAGGCCACAGGATTAACAGCTGTCTACAGAGGTATGCTAAAGTCAATAGGCTGAGGTTAGAAGAGAAACAAGTTATTTACATGAATTCAAAGTATCTTCCCTAAGATATTTATTAATTACAAAGTCGCAAAATAGTAACTTTGCAGTGCAGAGACCTGGCAGACGCCACCTGAACCAAGGGTTCAAGGTTAACATCCCCAGCAATGGGACAGGCAGCGTCATACACTCTGATAAGCTACATAAGAGCACGTGGCCGGGCCCACTGGCTCACACCTATAATCCCAGCATTTGGAGAGGCCACATTGGGAAAACCGCTTGAGGCCAGGAGTTCGAGACCAGCCTGGGCAATCTAGGGAGACCTTGTCTCTGCAGAAATGTTAAAAAATTAGCTGGGCACAGCAGTGCATAGACTCTGGGGTTCCCAGGGACCTCAAACTCCACCCTAGTGGGGCTGGACCTGGGGTGTGGCCTGTGCCGGATGTCCTCGCTGGCTGACATTTGCTTTCTTTATTACTCCCTTCCTTTATTGCACCGTTTAATTGTATTAAATGGTGCCCAAGGCATAAGGTGCAGGATTTTATGGCCTCGGGGTGACCCTGCAGTGAGGCCTGGCCCTTTCCTTCTTTACTTTGTGAGCCCGGGGCTGCCCTGCCCTCAACGGTGACGCTATGGGAGCCCTTGACTCATGTGCCAGGAATTGGGAGGGACGCCAAAGGCAGTGCTGTTTTCCATACAGAGCTGTGGCACTCGTTACAGAAATCAGAAAACACAAAACTGTCCGTGGGTGGAAGAAAAATGTCCCCCTCCCCCTCCCCCGAGAAGCCTCTTAATCCTTCAAAATCTTTCCCACCTTCTGTGCAGGTCTGGGAGATTCCTGACATTGTCCTGGGCATTCCTGGGGACAATTATGTAGCCGGAGTCTTTTCATTAAATGACATTTGACGTCTCTGAACTTAAAGCAATACACGTGCACCGAGGGCATGTCCAGATGCAGAGACGTGTTCGAAAGCTCTAGCGCGTCCCCATGTCAGCGGCCTGGGGTCCCCAGGTGGCAGTATCGTTTCAGGTGGGGAGGGGTCCCGGCTGCTGGGTGCCGTGGCCTGGCCTGGGCAGGCACAGTTGCTCATCTGCGATGGGTTCTGGATAGCAGCACCCTTGCTGGTTATGGGGGTGAACAGTGTTCGTGAATCTCTGCCCGCATGGGCACCCACGGGTGCTCCTAAGTTCTCCTGGTTATTACCACAGATTGTTTTACAGCCTCTTTTCCCCCACAATATATCGGGGAAGTTAAATATTTGCTGAGAACATGATTATTGATTGATTGATTGATTTTGAGGCAGGGTCTCGCTCTGTTGCCCAGGCAGGAGTGCAGTGATGCAATCTTGGCTCACTGTAGCCTTGAACACCTGGGCTTAAGCCATCCTCCTGCCTCAGCCTCCTGAGTAGCTGGGACCACAGGTGTGCACCACCAAGCCCAGCTAATTTTTTAGTTTTTAGAGATGGGGTTCTCACGATATTGCCCAGACTGGTCTTGAACTCCTGGTCTCAGGTGACACCCCGACCTTGGCCTCCCGCAGATCCAGTACCATCTTCCCAGGCTTTCTGTTTTCCTCCTAGGAGAGCTGTGGCTAAGGGGTCAGCCCAGCTTGACTGTCGTTCTGCCTCTGCTACTCATGATGGCGCCCGCATCCCCCTTGCCTCTGACGGCTGAGAGCCACCTCCTGGCAGTCCCAGGTCCCCCTCGCCTCTGACGGCTGAGAGCCACCTCCTGGCAGTCCCAGGTCCCCCTCGCCTCTGACGGCTGAAAGCCACCGCTCGGCTGTCCCGGGTCGATTCTTCCCATTGCGACTCTTTTCCAGCTGAGTGGCTGTGGCTCCCACTGTGAGGTCTGTGGCCCTCAGAGAAGAGCAGCCCAGGGATCTGTCCCTATTTCTACCCCACTCACTAATCTAGTTCCCAGTGTGGGGAAAGGTCTGTCTTCTGGACCTTCTGGTGGGTGAGGAGGTCTTAAGTGACAAACCTACCCTAGCCTTCCAATCTCCCTAGGCCTTTGCATCCCTTCCTCCACAGTAAACCAAGCCAGGTCTGGCCTTTCCAGTTTAATGTGACCCCTTTTCTGTCTATGTTGCACCCAACGAAGCAGCCAGCGGTTAGCGCCCTGCTAACTCCCTGAACCACACCTCGAAAGGCAGACTGTCTGCTTGGTGGGCACCTGCAGCACGTTCAGCGTGACCCCTTCATGGTCCTCCCACACCCCTGGACCGCATTTCTGTCTGTGCGGGACGGACACGCCACACCGCTCTTGCCATGGAGGTCACCTCCGTGGTTTGCACTCAGCCTCTGGCTCTGGGGCTTGCTGGACTCGAGTCAGCACCTGGGACCCCGTCAGTGAGGATCAAACCCTTGTTCTTACGCACGCGTTTTTAGGGAGGTAACACATTTGTCACTTTTTTTCTTTATTATTTCTTCCTTTGTTTGTATGCTTAGAAAAGTGCTCTTCTCTAAAGATCAGATAAATATCTGACTCTATTTTCTTCTCACTCTTTTTTAAATTATCCTTTTTCCTTATTTTTTACCATATAAGCATTTCTCACATTAAACATTAAACATTATTTTTTATTAAACATTATTTTACTAAACATTATTTTAAAATTTTAAATTATTTTAATGGGGGTTTTTTTGTGGTTTTTTTCTGGGTTTTTTTGTTTGTTTGTTTGTTTGTCTCTGCGACCCAAGCTGGACTGCAGTGGCGCAATCTCGGCTCACTGCAAGCTCCGCCTCATGGGTTCATACCATTCTCCTGCCTCAGCCTCCTGAGTAGCTGGGACTACAGGCATCCGCCACCACGCCCGGCTAAGTTTTTGTATTTTTAGTAGAGACAGGGTTTCACCGTGTTAGCCAGGATGGTCTCGATCTCCTGACCTCATGATCCACCCGCCTCAGCCTCCCAAAGTGCTGGAATTACAGGCATGAGCCACCGTGCCCAGCCTTTTTTTTTTTTTGAAATGGAGTCTCACTCTGTCACACAGGCTAGAGTGCAATGGCGCATTTTATGTGTTTTTTCTGGTTTTTCTTTTCTTTTTCTTTTTCTTTTCTTTTTTTTTTTTGCAATAGAGTCTCACTCTTTCACCCAGGCTGGATGGAGTGCAGTGGCGCGATCTCGGCTCACTGCAACCTCCGCCTCCCAGGTTCAAGCAATTCTCCTGCCTCAGCCTCGCGAGTAGCTGGGATTGCAGGTGTGCCCCACCACACCCGGCTAATTTTTGTATTTTTAGTAGACATGGGGTTTCACCACGCTGGCCAGGCTGGTCTCAAACTCCTGGCCTCAAGTGATCCATCTGCCTTGGCCTTTATTTTAATTGTTTTTGAATAGGTAAAGAACAGATCATGAAAGCAAACCTCCCTCCTGCCTGGTCGCCCCAGCTCCCTTTGCCCTGCCCAGAGATGACAGATCACCATTCTCTATACTATTTTTACCAGGATTCTACGAGTCTAAAATGATTTCATGATAAGAAGTCTGTGATGATGGCCGTTATGGAAAACAGCATGGAGATTCCCAAAAAACTGAAAACAGAACCACCACGTAATCCAGCTGTCCCACTCCCGGGCGTGACACGCGGAGGCCACATCAGTACGCAGAAGAGACACCCGCACCCCATGTTCGCCGCAGCGCTGTCCACTACGGCCAGACATGGAACCAGCCTCAGCGTCCAGCAGCCAAGGAAGGTGCATCCACGTCAGAGAACTGTTCCTCCACAGAAGAGGGAATTGTGTCATTGGTGCCGACATGGATGAACTGCAGGACTTCATGCTGAATGAAGGAAGCCAGGCCCAGAAAGACAGACACTGCATGATCTCACACATAAGTGGAGCCTAGAAAAGTTGAACTCACAGAAGCAGAGAGAGGACCCAGGGACATAGGGGCTGGGAACTGGGGAGGGGTTGGTCCAAGAGTACAAAGTTTCTGTTACAGACCGTGCACAGTGGCTCATGCCTGTAATCCCAGCACTTTGGGAGGCAGAGGCAGGCAGATCACCTGAGGTTAGGAGTTCGAGACCAGCCTGGCCAACATGATGAGACCCCCGTCTCTACTGAAAATACAAAAATTAGGCCAGGCGCGGTGGCTCATGCCTGTAATCCCAGCACTTTGGGATGCTGAGGCGGTCAGATCATGAGGTCAGGAGATCAAGATCATCCTGGCCAACATGGTGAAACCCCATCTCTACTAAAAATACAAAAATTAGCTAGGCATGGTGGCAGGCGCCTGTAATCCCAGCTACTCAGAAGGCTGAGGCAGGAGAATCGCTTGAACCCAGGAGGCGGAGGTTGCAGTGAGCCAAGATGGCACCACGGCACTCCAGCCTGGCAACAGAGTGAGACTCCGGTTCAAAAAACAAACAAACAAAAAAATTAGCTGGGCGTGGTGGCGGGTGCCTGTAATCCCAGCTACTCCAGAGGCTGAGGCATGAGAGTTGCTTGAACCTGGGAGATAGAGGTTACAGTAAGCCGAGATCGTGCCACTGCACTCCAGCCTGGCGACAGAGCAAACTCCATCTCAAAAAGAAAAAAAAAGTTCCGTTAGACAAAAGGAATAAATTCAAGAGATGTACTGCACAGCATGGTGACTACAGTTAATAACACCATATTGCATCCTTGAAAATCATTAAGAGAGAGAAAAAAAGAAAGAAAATCATTGCGAGTAGAATTTGAGTGTTCTTACCACAAAAAAATGGGAAGTATGTGAAGTCATGTGTGTTATGCTGCTTGATTTAAGCACAATGTAAACACGTTTCAAAACATCACATTGGACATGATAAATATATACAATAAAAGAACAAAATACATTTGCAAAACGAAGCATTATTATTGTGCAGGCTCTGCTGGTCGCCTGGTCTCAGTTCTGGTCTTGGCTGGACTCTGGGTCTAGTCCTCTCTCCGCAGCAATCCGGTGTCCCCTCGACGGACAGGATCCCCGGCCCCGCCCGCCGGACAGCAAGCTCACATTCTCTCTGTCGATTCAGTGGGAAGAGAGGCCCCTGGGGACAGTCCCGACGTCGAACTCCACACGGCCAGCACCTCGACCCTGGAGGGAGTGCTCCTCCCTGAGGAAGCGGGACCTTCAAGCTAGAGTGAACGGTGGCTGTGTGGGCAGGCGGCTGGTGCGACAGGGACTGTGGCCGTGACTCCCACCCGTGATTCCTGGATACCATCGCCACAGAGAAGCGGCACCGGACATGGATGGCGAGCACCTGGTCTGTTCTGCGGGGTTGCGCCCGTCCTTTCAGAGGGCCTCCTGGCCGGCGCCATAACTGGTCTTCAGGGGCCGTCCCACGCTCTATTAACCCGCTGCTCCTGGGAGCACTGCCTGAGCATGGGATGAGTCCTGCTGTGGGAAGCAGCATCGGTGGGGGTGTGATGGACAGTGGGGTGCTGTCGAGTCCGTGGACGAAGCCATGGGCAGGAACAGCAAGTCCACATTCAGAAAACTGCGAGGGCCTCCGTGACAGCTGACGACCTGTCCCTGTCCTGTCTGTGGAGGGCCGGCGAGGCAGGCGAGGACCCGTCCCTGGGGAATGGCACCATGAGGGGACCAGATTGCTGCCCCTGGAGTCGGCAGGGCACTTGTGCTGCAGGGCCGTGCAGAGCCCCCATCCCGCCACATCCCACCTTCCTCTTGGGCCCCTGGGGCCTGCCTGGCATGGCTGCTGAGTGACCGTGGGCGCTGACCTGTGACCGTCATGAACATACCACAGGCCACACTGGCTCTCCCGTCTTCTACATGCCTCCATGTCTTTCACACCTTGACACTTTTGAGGGGCTCTGGGCAGGTGTGTGTAGAACCTCCCCTTGTTGGGGACGTTGGATGTGTTCTTATGATTGAGATTGGAGTTATGCATTTTTGGCCAGGAAACTGCAGAAACCACATGCTCTTCTTTATTTTTGTTTTTATTTTATAGAGACAGGGTCTCACTCTGTTGCCCAGGTTGGAGTGCAGCGGTGCCATCACGGCTCCAGCCTGAGCCTGGAGTGGGGACAGGATGACGAGAGCCCACCGTGCATCCCAGCGACTCTCCAGGGCACACTCTGGCTGTGGCTCGGACACAGACACCCTGGGCCCCAGGGGAAGCCTCAGCTGCATTCTGAGCTCCCTTCTGAGGACAGAAGTCAGAGGACACCAAGACCCCTCCGGAGGTCCCCTAGGGTAGGTGTCGCTCAGACCCCTTCAGCCTCTAACCAGACAGGAGCTGGGGCCTGGGGTCCCCAGAGGAAAATGAGGGGTGACTAATGAGGCTCAGGAGACTGGGGTGGGGGCATCTGACGGGGATGCAACTGGCACCTGGCTTCAGGGGCATTCGCTGATCCACCTGGGGCACCCCGGATTGACCCTGGTCCTTCTTTCCCCTGGAGCAGCGTCAGGGAAGGAAAGGAGCTGCCCAGTCGGGCCACGCTAGATCCCAGCACACAGGCACGCAGTGAAGAAGCCAGGCCACTTCTCAGTTTTGTTATGAAGATCGTTTAGGGCCCATGGTCTTCCCTGAAAGGATCCGGGGAACCTCCAGGGACCTGTGGGCCATGTGGGAGAGCAGCTGAGACAATTTATCACCTGAGACAATTATTAGTATCACCAGGTGAATATCAATGCCTGGGTAGGGAGTTCCCCGGAGCAGGCAGGTGGGAGCTGGAGGAAATGCTGTCAGCATCGCCACCCTTGGCCCCTTCAGAGCTGAAATTGTTAGAAGAGGCCACTCCTGCCTTTCCTGACTATCAACTTCCTCTGTCCAAGATGGGGCTGGGCCCTGGAGGAGACTCACCTGGCCCAGTCCCAGCGCAGGTCAGACAGGCCCCCTGCACCTGTTCCCTGCCTTTTTGGGACCTCAGTTTCCCTGCCTGGTCCCCGGTGGCCTCTCCAGGCTTGCAGCCTGCTGCTGGATGGAGCTGGTTTCGAGGGGGGTGGACAGCAGGTGCGACCCCCAAGCCTGCAGAGGAGCTCGCAGGCAACGCACCAGCTCCTTCAAGGAACAAACAAAGGCTGTGGCTTCCCAGGAAGAGCCAACAGCTGCGGGCCAGGGCGGGGGGTGGGAGGGGAGATAGTCCACCAGGAGGCTCAGCCACCCACCCCGCAGCCTCGCCCTGACTGCGTTTATGGCCAGATCCTGTTGTGGGCGCAAGTCCAGCTCCACTGCCCTCCCTCCTGCTGGCATCTTCCAGGAACTGGCAGGGGCAGCAGGAACCTAGGGACCCAAGAGCCAGGAGACGGCCAGGATCAGCATTTGCTTCTCATTACCGGAGATGGAGGAAATGGGCAGCTTCTCCTGCTGTCCAGATTGTAGGACTGGGGCGGCATCATCAAGAGTGGAATGTGACGTCGTCCAGCTCCCCAGACTCGGCCCTCCCGGAGTCCAGGGCTGCCAGGCTGCCCTCTGGCCCGGGGGAAGTGCCTGGGGAGGATGAAGGAAGCCAGAGGGTGCTGGGGCCCGGTGCCCATGCATCTGTCCATCGCGTTCTGCAGGGAGCAGCCTCCCAGGGACCCCACTGCCTCCCGGATCCCCGGGGGAGGGGCAGATAGGGGCCAGGAGGATGTTTGCCAGGTGGCATCCGGTAGGAAGGTTAGGGTGAGGCTAGCGGTTAGGGATTAGGGCTTGGGGTGTAGGGTTGGGTCTAGGGTTAAGGTGTTGGGACTAAGGGGTTTGGGTGGAGGCTTGGGGTGAATTTAGGGCAGGGGTAGGCTGGGGTGAGGGTAATTTGGGGTGGTATGTTAGGGTCAGGACCCTGGGACCACGCTGGGTCTGACGCATTCAAGGGCACTTTGTCAGCCATCAAACGGGGCAAGACGCTCCACCTGGGTGACACAGAGCCGCACAGCCCTGCACCTGTACCTACACCTGGGGCCCCTCCTGTGCCCACAGGGCCTCCCCTGGTCAGCTGGGAGGGCTCTGCTAGCTGCCTCCTATCCCTAAGTGGACACAGTCCCTGGATCCTTCCCCCAGGGCTGGCCACACCCAGCTGACCACTCCCCCAACTCCCCTCTGGGCCCAGGCAGTCACCAAGGGGGTCAGCCGTCCTCAGTCCTCTCAGCCACGCAGGCCTGGGCCTCGGGTAGGGCTGCAGGACACACCTCCCCTACAGCTGGGCAGGTCCATGGTGTCCAGGCAGCCTGCCCTGGCCCGGCCCCAGGTGGTGCCTGGCATGCAGAGGACCGGAAGGCGGCAAGACCCCCGCTGCCAACGCCCCTCTCCGGCCCAGATAAGGTTCTGGGGAAGTCATTTCTTCCAGGCCCAGCTTCGGGAGGGTTGCAGTGTCCACACACATCTCCCCCTGCAGCTCAACCAGGCGCCACGGGAGGCACCCAAACAGCTGTGGGAACTGCAGGAAGGAGGGGAGGAGAGGGCGGGGAGTGGAGGAGGGAGGAGCTGCCCAGGCGTCCCCCGCGTAGGGGTGCAGGCTCCTGGGGATGCTGGGGACTCCAGGTCCTCACTGGCCCTTCCCGGCTGGCCCGCCTTTGCTCTGCATACAGCTGGCGCTCAGCAAAGCTTGCCGCTGCTGATGGACAATTCCATAGCTCACTCCAGCATATCTGTGCCCCAGGAGACGGTGCCCTCCTGGCCCCGGCCTGTGCCCTCTGTGGCCATTGAGGGCCCCGCCAGGCCTGCGGTCACAGGCGGGGCCAGTGCAGGGAGGAGGCCCTGACCACAGCAAAGGGGTCCGCAGCAGGGGAGGCACCAGCGTCCAAGTGCCCGTGCCCAGGGAGGTGCCACCTCTGACACGGACAGGGCTTCAGGCTTGGGACACAGGTGCCGGGGAAGCAGAAGGGAAAGGGAGGGGGCGGAACCCCGGCAGCAGGTCGGCTTGGTGACTGCACACCCCACGGGGGCAGTGGCTTACAGGGACCCACAGCCCAGGAGGGCCTCACCTTCGGCCCCTCCCAGCAGTAGCACCAACTGCCGTGGCCGCCCACACTACCCTCGTCCCGACGGCCACCCACACCAGGCCCTCCGTGGCCAGCACTCCTGTCATCCACATCCCCATCTTGCTGATAAGCGGGCGGTGAGGACACAGGAAACCCAGGCTGTCACCCGCCCAAGTCCGGAGCCAGGATGGGTCCCCCAGGTGGGAGAAGCCTGGTCTCACCCCCAGAGTGGCCCAGCCTGTCCCACAGCCAGGATCTAATGCCAGTCTCCCAAGGAGTGGGCACAGGGGGGTGTCTGGCCCCCCCTTATGGGGAGGGAACTCTCCATGGGGGGCCAGGAGCTGGGGAGCCTCAGGGGTCACAAGAAGCTGGTGGAGCCAGGGAGCCATGGCCACAGCGTGGGGGCAGGTGCCCCAGGAGGGGGAGGGGAGGGCATGGCCTTGGTTGCTACCAGCCCCCGCACTGGCATTCGGGCAGCATGGGGGCACATTTTGGGCCTGGGGGACTGTGCCATCGTGGCCAGGAGCACCTTGAGAAGCCAGGAGGGCTGGCCAGGGTGGGGCAGAGCAGAGCAGGGCAGGGACAATCTGCCCAGACGTCTCACCACCCCTCAGACACCCCCAGACTTGCCTGGGCCAGGATAAATACGCAGTCCTTGCCCCAAGGCCCAGAATTAGGTACGTGGGTACCTGCATGTCTGGCCGGGTCCCCTGCCTCTCTGTGCAGAATCCTGATGCCCCCTGGCAGGCCTAGGGGTTCAGCAGAAGCAGGTTGCAGCCCCCACACCCCTCTAATGGGCCACATAGAAGGTGGGCCAAGGGCAGTGGATGGGGGGCCTGGGACACAGCAGCTGGGACACTGCCCCAGGACCAGGGTCGGGTCCAGGAGTGGAGAACCCAGGGCAGTGACGGGGAGAGCAGACAGACCTGGGTTGAGATGGTGTCTGGGTGGGAGTCCAGGGGGCCGGGGGCCCAGCTTCCCAGGTGCCAGGGGAGCCCCCGCCCCTGAGTCCTTGGTGAGCTGAGTCTCCAGGGTGTGGTGCTCCCAGCATCCTAGCCAGGCCTTGTGGCTGCAGAGGGACAGAAACCAGGCCCAGCTTCCTGCTGGGGGGGTCACCTCTCCCCAGGGGTCCAGGACACCGCTGCATCTGAAAATGAGCAGGAAAGGGGTGCTCAGTGCAGCCTCAGGGCCTTGGGGACCCCCTTGGATCTTGCCAGCTCCCGAAATGCAGAGAGAGAGTCGGGCAGTGGGGCCAGGGCTACAGCCCCCATGTCTCCTCAACGTCTGCCTGGCTCTGTCTACCTCAGGGAACCAGGGCTCCTCATACCGGACCTGGCCTCTACCCGCCCAGGGCGCTTGGAGCAAAGACTGTGGTCCCAGGTTCCCCGACAGTGGAAGCTTCCCTGCCCAGCCCAAGCCGTCTGCAGCCAGACCAGAGGCTGGTGTGGCACCATGGAAGGTTCCGGAGGGCGAGAGCCGTGATGCTGTAGCCCGCCAGCAGGTGGCACCTGGCACCCGCACCACAGCCCGGAGGAGGGCTGGGCAAGGCGTGTGCTCAGGGCCGTGTGGCCCAGGTGTGTGCCTGCGTGTGCCTGCATGTTGGCAAGTCCGGTGCCCGGGTGGCTCTCAGGCATCTTGGGGAGAACAGTCAGCCCACAGCCGGGCCAGAGCCCTCTGGCCCCATTGATGGGAGGCTCTGGGACAGACAGCACTGAGAAGGGAGAGAAGCTGGGCAGGTGGGGCAGGTGGGGCCACCGGGCAGGCGTGAGGGTGACCCTGCCAAGTGGCACAGGGACGATCTGAGTCCTGCAGGGCCCGGCAGCGCCTGAATAATGGGAGAAGCTGTGTGAGCCGTGCACGGGCGGGACAGCAAGGCGGGCGGGCGTGGGTCCTGTACACACGGGTGTGGGTGTGGCTGAGCGACCACTCGCCCTCTCACATCCCCTGCAGTGAGCGTGGGGGCACTGGCCCCTCATTTCCCAGCCCCGCTGGGCCCACCTCCTGCCTGGCCCTCCCAGGGACTGACGTGTGGCCACCTACCCCTCGAACCGCAGGGGTTGCCTGTCCCCGCCTCTGTCCCTGCACCTCAGGCCCATCCCCGCCCTTGTCCCCGCACCTCGGGCCTGTCCCCGCCTTTGTCCCCGCAACTCAGACCTTTGGTGACACCTGTGGGCTCAGGCGCCACATGGGGCCCAGGACACTGGGGCCGCAGCACATCGGGGAGGGGAGGCTGCAGTCTGGGCCCAAGGGCATCCAGCCTCTCCACTCCCTCCCCGGTGACCTTGGGCAGGCTGCCCCCTCTCTGTGCCTGTTTCCTCATCTACGTGGGTACAGAACCCGTCTCCACCTGCAGTAAATCCAGTGATGGCGGGAGTGTCCCGCCAGCTGCACTCTAGGACCCGTTCGCTACAAGGATTGCACTGGGGGATGCCCTGTCCCCAGCTGGCCCGGCTCTGTCATGGCCTGGACCCTCCCTGCCTGGGCACGTCTGACCCAGAGAGAGGGAAGGCCACCAGGGCAACCCCAGAGGCCTGTCCAGCTCAGAGCCAGCCCCTCCTGCACCAGGGTCCCCTGAGATTCACCCTGACAGGCAGCAGGAAGGCAGGGTGCCTGGTGGCCTCCTTCCCCCAGGGATCTGGGGAGGGTCTGGGCTGGGCTCTTCTTTGACAGGCCGCCCGGGCCCCACCTCAGGCCTGGAGGAAAGTGGAGGGGTCCACACCGTGGCCGACCCTGGGACTGGAGACACATGGGCACCAGGACACGCGAGGCCCATGGGGGCCAGGGAAGTCCCCAGAATCCCCACTCACCACTCTGGGGTGGGAAGAGGCAGGGCCAGCCTGTCGACATGCATCTCCTGCTGTCCAGAGAATGCTCCCGACGTCCCCATTTTCCTACAGAAGAGGACATCCTTGCTGGGAAGCCGGTGGCTGCAGCCAGTCAATGGTGACTCCCAGAAGGTTCCAGGCCCCGCCCAGCCAGAACCCCAGAGCCAGACCTGGGGCCACAGGGCATGACGCAGCTCTGCCTATACAGGGACAGGCAGCTGCCCACGGCCATGGGCACAGGCTTTGAGGAAGCGACAAGGCTCTTGCACCAGCAGATTAAAATGCTGCCAAGCGGAAGAGTCTGTCAAAGCTCTCAAGGAGCAGCTGGTTCAGGGCCAGCAGGTGCTGGGGTGGTAGGGGGGCCCCTTGGCTGCTGTGACGGTGCCTGTCCCTGGCTCCCAGCCCGGGAGCCCCAGCAGTGCCTTGTACAGCCGGCCCAGACATGCAAAGGGCCAGAGCCCGGCACGCGGCAGTGTTGACTGTCATCATTGTTATTGCCATCATCATCATCATCATCATCATTGCTATTATTATATTATCATCAGGAAACTCACCTACATTCTGCAGGCTGTGGGTGAGGCCAAGGAGCAGAGGGCTGGGGGTTGATGTGGGCCGGCAAGGTCCAGGCCAGGAGGGTTCATCCCAGGGATGCCAAGACCCAGCAGAAGGTTAGCAGGGGAGGAGAGACCCTTACCCCAGGGTGACCCCACGGCGGGGGCTGCATGTGGGCACCAACTGGAGGCCTGCGGGAGGCAGGTGTGGCTCGGAGGCTCTTTGGCAAGGTGGGAGCCGGGGGTCCCTTAAGAAGTCCACCTTAAGAGGTCCTCCAGAGTGACCCAGGGAGAACCATTCTCCAACCCACCCACTCCTGGATCTCAGGCTCCCAGGACGCAGAGAGACTCTGAGCCATCTCCCGGGTTGTGCTGCTTGGTTATGGTGGCCCCAGGAAAGCGAATCAAGAGTTGCAGCAATGCTGCCCAGCCCCACGAGCAGGGAAACCAGAGCCAGGAGGTGGCGATAGGGACTGCGGGTGGGTGGACCGCGGGGCTGGGGTGTGTTCTCTTCCTGCTACTCTTCTACATTTTTCCAGGTTTTATTTAGTGACTATGTTCCACTCTGTATTAAAGTATCAAGATTCCATTTCATCAAGGACTAGCATTTTTAGCAAAGAGAGTAGCAGAGGCCAGGATTTAGCAACTAAAAAACTCCAGGAAATATGGGAAACAACATCTGTCAAGACGGTGGACATCAGGCGACGAAGAGAGTGGTCCCAGAGAGACAGCGGGTCCCTCCAACCTGGCTGCTATCCGGAAACGCCATGGCCTGAGCGGCATAAAAGCAACAGACACGCATCTCCACGGCTGCAGAGGACGGGACGTTCAAGATCCACACTCTGGCAGATTCGATGTCTGGTGAGGCCACTCCCTGGTTCACGGACGGCACCTTCCCACTGGGTCCCCTTCGCCTCTGGTAGAAGGGGTGGGAGAGCTCTCTGAGGTCTCTTTTTTTTTTTTTTCGAGACAGGGTCTCACTCTGTCACCCAGGCTGGAGTGCAGTAGCACAATCTCGGTTCACTGCAAGCTCACTTCCCAGGTTCGAGTGATTCTCCGCCTCAGCCTCCCGAGTAGCCGAGATTACAGGCGCCCACCACCATGCCCAGCTAATTTTCATATTTTTAGTAGAGACAGGGTTTCTCCATGCTGGCCAGGCTCATCTCGAACTCCTGAACTCAGGTGATCCACCTGCCTCGGCCTCCCAAAGTGCTGGGATTACAGGCGTGAGCCACCGCGCCCGGCTCTGGGATCTCTCCTGTAAGGACACTAACCCCATTCTTGAGGGCTCTGCCACCTCCCCAAGTCCCCACCTCCTAATATCGTCACCTTGGGCACCAGGATTTCAACACAGGAACCGGAGGGTGGGGAAGACACAAACGTTCAGTCCATGGCAGACAGGAAACAGCCCTAAACTGCCCAGGTCACCGCCTGAGGGTTTCCAGGACAAGGGGCCAGGAAGGAGAACTCAGGAAGAGCTCAGATGAGAGGCCGGGGAGACCACGGCAGCTGGAGTGCACAGGACACTGGCAGGGAGAGAGCTGCCCAGAGCAAAGCCTGGAGACCTGCAGAAGGTCCGTCTTGAGCGTTTGGCAGGGAACCCGCTCAGCACGTGCCTGGGAGGAGACTAAGGCTGGCGAGCAACGACCCGAAGGATTGGAAGGAAGAGCAGCGGAGCTCACAGAGGCTGGGAAAAGCACTGCTCCCGCCAGCACCACCGAGAAACCTCGCCACTCAAAGTTCACGGTGCGGTGGGCAGAGTGCCCCTCAGGGTCTTGCCTCAATGGTGAGGCGTAGTTTGCCCTGGACTCAGCACTGCTCTGAGCCCACCTACGAGCCACACGAGGCCCAGGAGGCCCAAACTCTCTCCAATCCCTTAATTATGTCCCAGAACAAAGCCCCAGGACACAAAAGTATCCAGCAGCCCACGAGGTAAAATTCACGAAGTCCAACCTCCATTCAAAGAGTACCAGGCAGGTAAAGAAAGGGGATAATTCCACCCATAATCAGGAGAAAATTCAACTAATCCAAACCACAAAACCAACACAGATGTTGGAATTAGCCGACAAAGACATTAAAACAGGCGTTACGACAGTATTCCATGTCATCAAAATGCTATGCTGAAAATTGAACGTATTTAGTAAAAAACATGAAACATATAAAAAAGGATCCAAATTAAACATCTAAAGATGAAAATGACTATGTGTGAGATGAAACACACTGGACAGGATTAACAACGGATGCGACAATGCAGAAGAGGACAGCGGTGAACTTGAAGACATAATAGAGACACAGAAAGACAAAAGAATCCAAAAAATAAACAGCTCCTTAGCGAGCAGTAGGTGGCAAAGCTTCGCGCAGCCTGACACGTCTGTAAACGGAGCCCACGAAGGGAGAGGAGGACAGGAAAAATTGAAGAAATCATGGCCATAATTTGTTCAAATCTGAGGAAAACTTGGCTGGGTGCGGTGGCTCACGCCTGTAATCCCAGCAATTTGGGAGGCCAAAGCAGGTGGATCACCTGAAGTCAGGAGCTTGAAACCAGCCCAGCCAACATGGTGAAACCCCATCTCTACTAAAAATACAAAAATTAGCTGGGTGTGGTAGCAGGCGCCTGTAATCCCAGCTACTCGGGAGGCTGAGGCGGAAGGACTGCTTGAGCCCCAGAGTTTGAGGTTGCGGCGAGCCGAGATTGCGCCATTGCACTCCAGCCTGGGCAACAGAGCAAGACTCTGTTTCAAAAAAAAAAAAAAAAAATTAATGAAAACTAAAACCCAGAGATACAAGAAGCTCAGTGAGTACAAAGTACAAGAAACATGAAGGAAATGACACCAAATCCTAATCATACAGAATCAGTGTAAAAGAGAAAATCTTAAGTTGTGGGGTGGGGGCGTGTTACAAAGAGGAAACATATTAAAATAACAACAGATTTTTTTGGCGGGGGAACTTGTGCCAGTAAGAAAACTAGAGCAGCACCTTTACAGTACAAACGGAAGAAGAAGCTGTCATCCTAGAAAAACATCTTTCAAAAACAAAGGCAAAAGGAAGATATTTTCAGACAAATAACCATTGCAGTGTCCATTAAGAAATGTTAAAGAAAGCCCTTCAGGCGGGTGGAAAAGGAAATCAGATAGAAATGTGGCTCCACGGCCGGGCTCGGTGGCTCAGGCCTGTCATCCCAGCACTTTGGGAGGCAGAGGCAGGCAGATCACTTGAGGTCAGGAGTTCAAGACCAGCCTGACCAACATGGTAAAACCCCATCTCTACTAAAAACACAAAAATTAGCCAGGCGTTGTGGTGGGTGCCTGAGGTCACAGCTACTTGGGAGGCTGAGGCAGGAGAATCACTTGAACCCGGGAGGTGGAGGTTGCAGGGAGCCAAGATCACGCCACTGCACTCCAGCCTGGGTGACAGAGCGAGACTCCATCTCAAAAAAAAAAAGAAAAGAAAAAAGAAATATGGATCTACACGATGGAATAATGCATTTGAAATAGTAATTGTATGGGTAAATATAGAAGTTTTTTTACTATTTAAGCCTCTTTAAAAAATAATTAATTAAACAAAAATACCAACAATGCAGTGCGGTGTGAATCGTGTGTGGACACAAAATGGGTGACAAGAATTGCACAACCCAAGAGAAGGGAGCTGTGAGGCACCTTTTTTTTTTTTTTTTTTGAGATGGAGTCTTGTTCTGTCACCCAGGCTGGAATGCAGTGGCACGATCTTGTCTCACTGCAGCCTCTGTCTCCCGGGTTCAAGCAATTCTCCTGCCTGGGCCTCCCGAGTAGCTGGGATTACCGGTGCCCACCACCACACCCAGCTAATTTTTGTATTTTTAGTAGAGATGGGGTTTCACCACGTTGGCCAGGCTGGTCTCGAACTCCTGACCTCAGGTGATCCTCCCACCTTGGCCTCCCATAGTGTTGGAATTACAGGCGTAAGCCGCCGTGCCCAGCCTGGAAGGTTCTTCTTCTATATATGGAATGTGATAATATCTTTGGAAAGGAGACTACAGTAGGTTGTAGACATACTATAAACTCTAAGACAACTACTAAAATAATAAAAAGTTATGGCAGATAAGCAAACAAGGAGATAAAACTGAACTGTGGAAAAATAGTCAATCCAAAAGAAGGCAGAAAAGAAAGACAAAGAACAGATGGAAGGAACAGAAAACAAGTAGCAAGATGGTAGCTTTTCACCTGGCCACATCACTAATTACATTAAATGTAATAGTCTAAACACCCCCAATAAAAAGATGTGGATTGTCAGACTAGAATAAAAAGCAAGATCACTCTATAAGCTGCCCAGAGAATCTCACTGTAAGTAAAAGACACACATTAGTTATTGAAAGTAAAGGAAGAGGAAAAAACACACCGTGCTAACACAGAAAGAAAGATCAAGTGGCAATATTAATACAAAGGTAGACTTTAGAGCAAGGAACTGGCAATAAAGAAGATCCTTTCATAATGATAAAATCATGACCTTGGATTAGGCAAAGATTTCTTAGACACAACACTAAAAGCATGATGTGTAAAGTAAAAATTAATACATTGGGCTTTGCCAAAATTAAGAACTTCGGCCAGTCTAGGTGGCGCACGCCTGTAATCCCAGCAATTTGGGAGGCCGAGGTGGGTGGATCACCTGAGGTCAGGAGCTTGAAACCAGCCTGACCATCATGGTGAAACCCCATCTCTACCAAAAATACAAAAACTAGCCGGGCGGGGTGGCACTCACCTGTAGTCCCAACTACTCCGGAGGCTGAGGCAGGAGAATTGCCAGAACTGGAAAGGCAGAGGTTGCAGTGAGCCGAGATTGCACCATTGCACTCCAGCCTGGGCGGCAGAGCACGAGACTCCATCGAGAGAGAGAGAGAGAGAGGGAAGGAAGGGAGGGAGGGAGGGAGGGAAAGAAGGAAGGAAGGAAGGAAGGAAGGAAGGAAGGAAGGAAGGAAGGAAGGAAGGAAGGAAGGAAGGAACAGAGAAGAAAGCAAGAAAGGAGGGAGGGAGGGAAAGAATGAACTTCCGCTCTTTTGAACAGAAGTTTTGACACTTAATAGTATCTTCTGACACTATTAAGAGAATAAAAAGACAAGCCCTGACTGGGAGAAAAATCTTTGCCAAGTATGTATTTTTAGTGAAGGACTCGAATGCAGAATATATAAAGAACTCTCAAAACTGAAGCAACCCAATTTTAAAATGGATGGACAAAACGTTAGAACAGACACTTCATCAAAGAAGATACACAGAGGGCAAATAAACGCATGGAAAGATGCTCAACGCCATTAGTCGTTAGGAAAATTCAAATGAAAACCACAGTCAGATAGCACTGCACACCTGTTAGAATGGCTAAAATTTTAAAAACGGACGACGTCAAGCATACAGGAGGGTGAGGAGGGGCTGGAACTCACATCACGGGTGGGAGGCACAATGGCACAGCCATGCCGGAAAACAGTTTGGCCGTTTCTGAAAAATTCAGACGCCAACCACGTGATCCAGCCAGTCCACGCCGGGAGAAGTGGCAGCACATGCTCCTCTGAGACACGGACACACGTGTTCTAACTGCTTTGTTTGTAATTGCTGAAGCTGGAAGAGCAGGTGAACAGGCTGCGCTCTGATGGACATCTGGGTCATTTCCAGTTTGGGGTTGTTACAAACACCTCCTGGGAGCATGTGTGCGCACGCATCCGCCTCGGGCACTGGCCATGCCCCCAAGAGTCGGTGGCATCAGGACTGGAGGCCACTGCCTAG
The DNA here is from genome assembly GCF_000001405.40 of Homo sapiens. Classification (NCBI taxonomy): domain Eukaryota; kingdom Metazoa; phylum Chordata; class Mammalia; order Primates; family Hominidae; genus Homo; species Homo sapiens. The sequence goes on along the minus strand of NT_187681.1, from coordinate 118,039 downwards.
TACAGCGAGGGTGCACCTTGGCCACCAGTCTTGAGCCAGGGTCCGTGGGTAAGCTGGGGGGTGCTCCTTGGCCACCCTGCTTGTGCTCCTATCTGGGGGAGGGTTGGGGTTTGGGGGACCCCCGGGGAGCTGCTGAGACAGGGGACAGTGGACATGGGCTGCTCCGATGACCGGTCTCAGCCCCGATCAGCCCTGATGCCAGCTGGGAGGGCCTGAGCCTCTGGCTTCCCGGGGCCCCGAGCCCGGCTGTAGGGCCACGTCTGTGCCACCTGGGCTTCTGCCAGGCCTACGTGTTCTGGGCCCCCCACACCTGACTCTGCAGGCCATATGCACGGGGCCTCCCACGGGCCACACAGCACTCACGGCCGCTGGGCAGCAGATCAGGCCCAAGGCTCCCTTGGGCCGGCACCTGGTGTGAGTGGCCGGGAAACCCACCTGTTCCCGTCAGGCCTCCACTGTGTTTCCCCTGAACAACACCCGAAGAACCAGCTGTGGTGAGCCTGGGCGCTCCTCGACTCTCTGCAGGCCATGCCAGCCATGCCAGCCATGCCAGCATCCCCCACAACCCTCTGGACCAGGACCTGCCCCGTCACCCCTTCTTGCCTGGGCCTCAGTGGCTGCCCCCACTGCACGTCCAACTGCCTGGAATGGGCCCTGGATGTGATTCCTGAGAGAGACTCAGGTCTGGCTGCAATACCTGGAGCTTTTCTGGGGAAAAAAACAAATTCTTCAAATTCTCTGCAGGACCTGTGGCCCCAACGCCATTGCTGGCAGAGGCACCTCTGCCGGGGCACCTGCCCAGACTCCACGCCAGCACACAGCACCACCGCCCCCCAGGCTGGCTCAGGGTCCCTTCCCCACCCCCAGCTCTGGTCCTCAGTTTACCCACCTCTCCCAGCTTACTCTAGGCCAGGTCACCTTCCAGCCTGGTCTCCGACACCTCCTGGTGACCTGGCCCCACCCCCCACCCAGTCCTGCTCTTCACCTGGAGCCCTGGAAGCCCTTCATCTCACCCTGGGCTGCCCAGGGCCCCCTTGCTGTGAGCTGCAGCTGCCCTCAGAGGCCATTTGACTTGTGCTTTTGGGGCCCTGCCGGGCTCCCCAAAGGGAGTCCTAAATGTCACCCCCATGAGAGGGATGAGGATTCCTGGGAGAGAGGTGGTCTCATGAGCCTCAGCTCCAGCTTGACCTCCACCCCCACTTGACCAGCAGCCTCCAGAGTCTGAGTCGGCAGCCCAGGGTCCCCCCACCCTCCTCAAAGCCCCCTCACCAGCCACCCTCGGAGAGCAAGCCCTTGCTAACTCCCCATCCAGCTGCGCTCACTGAGGGCAAAAGGCGGCCCAATAACCCCTGGCCCTGGGCAGTGTGGTGCCCCACGGCTGCCCGCCCGGAGCAGTCCAGGGGGCCTAGTTCCCAACAGCCTTATCTGTTTGCATTTCACTCCGCATCCGCTGGTTATCAGCTCCAGAGCCCGGGCGGGGCAGTCAGCCAGACACCCAGCCGTCCCGGCAGCCTCTCCCTGTGCTCAGATGAGGGCGCCTTGGGTTCAGGCCTGGAGTTGGCAACGCATGGACATCTCCCCCAGGACATCGGAGGTGAACCCCAGCCCTCAGGATCCTGGTCTTCCCCTCGGGGCTGGTGGGGCACAGCTACCCCCACTGTGAGGGCCTGGCAGGGCTGGCCTGCAAGGAAGGCTCTGTCCTGAGAGGGTCTGCCCAGGGCCCCATGCCAGGGGGCGAAACTCTCAGGGCAGGGAGCAGCTGGGGGCTCTGCACCCTCACCTGTGGCACACAGCCACCTCCCATGGGATGGGAAAAGGGGAGAAGGTATTTGGGGTGCCAGCTGGGGAGATGACTCAGCCACCTACCCTGGGGCTCAGAGGTACCAGAGTCAGGTGTGAGAGGAGTTCAGGCCAGGGGCCTCTCCTGGGTGCCTGCCCAAGGCTACCGGCCGGCAATGCTCACCCGGGGAGGTGGGGGTCCCGCCCCAGCTAAGCTCCCACCTGGAGGGAGGAGTGGCCTGGCCAGGACCCCTCCTGTGCTGCTGCCTCAATGGCCCCGGCAGCCCGTATCCTGCCCCCACCCCAGGCTGAAACGTGCCCGCTCCTGAGGGCCCCAGCCTACCCTGACCTGCTTCCTGCACGGGGCATAAGTAGACAAAAAGGACAAGGGCCCCTCTCTGGAGGAGGGCAGGTGGAGAGCTCCCCAGCCCTTTCTGGAACATGAGGCTACCAGCCTGGGCTGAGCCCAGCCTCAGGCAGTGGTTCCTGCTAGCTACTCCTCTACCCACCCCGGACAGGCGGGCCAGCCCACCATCCCAGCCACCTCCAGGCCCAGCAGCTACCAGGGCCCCTCCCGCAGCCAGACGAGACCTTCAGTCCACTCAAGGCCACACAGTGGGCTGTGGGCAGCGGACAGCACAGGGCTGGGGCTGGGCTGGGGGTGGGGGCTGTGCGCACCTGAGTGTCCGGCTCCCAAAGGGGGTCCCAGGGATACGGGGGAAGGGCAGTGCCCCCAAATCCCAGCCCAGGCACCAAGCAGTCAAGTCTGAAAGTGCAGACCAGTGGGTGCCCGGGGAGCCCTAGCCCTCTGAACATCACTGGACAGGGGCTGTGGGGTCTCATTGAGGGTGGGCTGGTGGTCGCCCGGGTGAGCTGCACTGCCCGGCCCTTGCAGCTGCCCTTCCGGGGTCACGCTGCCCCTCCCCAGGCCTTGGGGAGGGCCCTCACCTGTGGCATGCAGCTGGCTCTGTTTCTACCTCCGGCAGGGTGGACCCCAGCAGCTGGGGTCAGAGGGGTCTGCAGGGCTGGTGGAGAAGCAGGAGTTGTCCAGGGAGGGGGATAGAGGCCAGAGGTCAGGGAGTGTCAGAGCCAGGCAGGGCCTCCTCTGAGGTGCTAGGGAGAATGAGGGGGTACCACACACTCGGGGCTGCAGGGCGGGGGCCACGGCAGGCCAGATTCGATGGGGGTGGCTGCAGGCAAGAGCTGGACTAGGAACGTTTCAACATACTCAGGAGGCAAAACCGCAGGGTACTGGCAAGCTGGACAAGTCCATGGGGAGGTCACCAGTGACGCTCAGGGACGGGGGAGAGGGAGAGGACCCAGGGCCAGCCCCACCCAGCCACACAAGGGCCTTGGAGGGAGGGTGGGGCAGGTGACCTCCCCCAGGCCTGACGCCCCTTCCCTGCCATCCCCCTGCCCCTTGGGGGACCTTGCATCCAGCCACTCTGTCCCCAGGGTCTCCAGGTTCCCACCGCCTCCCCAAGCAATGGGCCCCAGGACCTGGCACAGGGTCAGTGCCTCCCAAGACATCGGGCATCCGGATCAACAGGAAGCCGTGACGCGCCCCCTCGGGCATGCACCTGGGCACTGGCTGGCCATATTGAGCTCTGCCGGCCAGCACTGGGCCCGCGCCTCGGATGGGGAATGGCAGCGATCCAAGCCCGGGTGCATTCCCACTCCCGGGGTTGAAATCTTTCCCAAACACTCCCCAAACCCACAGTTTTCAATCCTTTGATCTGATGGGGACCAGCTGCCAAGCCTCAGGGGGTGAAGCCCCACCTGTTCTCCTCCAGGGGACGTCACACCTGACCACAGGGCCCAGCGGGGCAGGGGCAGGGAAGGGGCTGGCCAAGGGGCAGGGAAGGGGCTGGCCGAGGGGCAGGGAAGGGGCTGGCCGAGGGGCAGGGGGCCACCAGCAGGTCCATCCCAGCGCCTCTGTGAACACAAGTCCCAGCAGACCCAGGGCCTCAGCCTCCTGTGAGGGGAGCCAGGCCCGAGTCAGTTCCAGAGCCTTCTGGAGACACCTGCAGGGGTGAAGGCCTCAAGTCCAAGTGAAGGTCTGCTCACACCTGTCCAGGGAGCCCTGCGGGTCTAGGAGCCAGCGCCCACCCTAACGGTTCAGCCGGGAAGCTGGGGCCCGGGGCCCACCCTGACTCCCGCTTCACAGCCACACCAGGCCTGGAGTGACCGCTGTTCAGGGCCAGGCCACTTAGACGGACATAGAGGGCGGGGCCAGCGCTGGGCATGAGAGGGGACAATCACCCACTTGTCCAGTCCTCAGGCCCTGTTCTCCAGCCAGGCCCACAGGACATGGCTCCTATCACCAGGTTGCTCCAGGAACAACACCTCACACGCTTATCTCCCCCACTGCTCAGTGCATTCAAGCGCTCCCCGGCCAGGACAGAAACACCGCTCCCAGCCATTTGCCACCAAGCGAGTGCATTGAGAGAGAGAGACCCCCAGGCTCCGGAGGCCCCATGGTGCCACGATGGAGCCCCCACCAGGGCTCGGGGCCAGGGCCTTCTACACACTCGAGTGGCCCTGAGATCATGGGGACAATAAATTCTGGGATGCACAGCTTTCACCAGAAATTCAACCTATACACACACATGCACACACACAGGCACACACAGGTACACGTGCACACACATGCACACACACGCAAACACACGCACTCACAGGCACACAGGCACAGGCACCCACATAGGCACACACAGGCACGTGCACACACACGCACACACATGCACACACGTGCACACACAGGCACACATGCACACACACAGGCAGGCACTCACGTGCACACAGGCACACACATACACACGCACACACAGGTACACGTGCACGCACACATATGCATATGCGCACACACACATACACAATCACCACACACCTGCAAGCGGGCATCTTCACCACAGGCCCAGTGGGCAGCCCCATTGCAGGCTGGTGGTATCCAGCCCCCACCCGCCCCACACCTGTGCAAGTTGCAGGGATCCCCCAATTCTAGAGGACGCTGGGGACTCACATGCTGAACGCCACAGCCATAACCTTCAAGGTCAGGGGTCTCTGCCACTTTACAGCTGGGAAATGGAAGCCTCAGTGGCCAGGACCCGAAGCCCTACAGGCCTGGCCGGGGAACCAGTGTCCACTGGCTCTCACCCCCAACCCACCCCTGCCCCTACATTCAAAGCTTCATAGGATCCCTCCTGAGAACCTGAGCTCGGTTCTCACAAGCCCAGACAGGTGGTCAGACAAGCACAACCGCCGGGCTGACATGGCCACAGGGCTCCCAGCCATGACACCTGCCCATGAGGTCCCTTTTGGCACCAGCTGCCCTGGTGCAGTGACCCACCCAGGGAAGGAGGCCCTAAGATCTCTGCCCCTCATCGTCCCCACCTCGAGCCCGGGCTGAGAGGCCCCAGCTCAGAACGAGGGCCAGCTGTGAGCCCTGCGTCCATCCAACCTCTCAGCATGACAGGGCAAGGGCCTCACTCCTGTGCCTCAGCTTCTCACCTGAACCACAGGGACCACTGAGCGTGTTAAGAAGGGACAGCCAAGGCTGGACACGGTGGCTCACGCCTGTCATCTCAGCACTCTGGGAGGCTGAGGCAGGAGGATCTCTTGAGTCCGGGAGTTCAAGGCCAGCCTGGACAACAAAGTGAGACCTCGTCCCTACAAAACCGAAAAATTAAAAAGAAGAACAGATGAGAGTAGAACACCCAGAATGCCTGGTGTGGGGCTCCTGGTGGGGGGCAGCACACGTACTGCAATTTCCTACAAAAGCAACTTATTGTAACTTCAAGCAACGTTCCACAAAACTGAAGCTGATTTAAGTGAAACACGCGACACCTACTGTGTATGGCACGCGTGGCCCTGGGGCCTCTTCCGGGGGCAGGTGGGGCAGCTCCCGGGCGTGTGGGCACAGGTGGGACAGAGGTGGCAGGCCCGGGTCCCAGCCAGCAGGCTCAGCTCACCTGTGGGATGGGGGTGCAGCCCCATGTGGGGAGCCCGGCCCAGGGAGACCAGGCGGCCTCGGAGTCCCTCCTGGCTCAGGCCGGGATGCTGACGTGTGGTGGGAGCAGCCCCGAGGCCAGCGAGGGCTCCTGTCGGAGTCGGGGACCAAAATCCCCTTTGGGAGGGGTCCCTGGGCTGCCAAACGAAGCTGGGGCAATCCTGGTGACCACTCAGACCTCCACCTCCCTCCCCCCCGCCAGCCACCGGCACCACCCCGATGTCACCAGACCTTGCCCTGTCCCCGGCCCCTCAGACGTGGCACGTGCCTCCACAGGCAAGGCCCCCTGGTCATCCCAGTCCCTGCCCCTCTGCCTGAAGGGGTCAGGAGCATACCGGCGACCCCACAGCCCCGCAGAGATGCCCCAGCAGACGAGCAGCCCCCGAGTTCCTGTCCTCAAGATGGCTGCCAACAGCGCTCGAAGGGGGAAGAAAACAGCTGTGGAGGGGTCTTCAGGAGCAAGCCTGGGACCTGGCGGGCTGCAGAGACACGGTAGCTCCTCAGGCCTCCAGGGCAGCCTGTCTAAGCCCCAAGGCCGCTGCCTGTCCCAGACGGCGGAGCCCCTGCTCCCCAACACCCCCTGGCAAGGTCCCTCCCGCTGGGTGATCTTTCCTGTTGGGCAGGGAACTCAGGGGTGGGCCCAGGGCCCTTCAGGGGGTGCTGGGATTCAGGGTGAGGGGTGGGCCCAGTGCCCCTCAGGGGGTCCTGGGATTCAGGTGCAGCAGGGTTCCCCCCAAGCTGGGTCAGCACTGGGCTCCCCGGAAGGGGCAGAGCAGGTGCCCCAGGGCCCCCGACCTCCCCCAACAGGTCCATCCCGGCCACCAGGCGTGTGGCTGACAGTGCCACGTTGACCCAGCAGCGGGGAGGGCCCGGGCCAGGATGGCCCCCATGCAGGGGGTGTTTGCAGGACCTTTGGGGGCGTGCGTGCGTCAGCCCCCCGCTGGGAATGGGTGATAATGGGGCCGCTGCCTGCAGGATTTTCCAAAGAAAGCCGAGTCCTGATAAAGCAGGCCCAGATCCTGTTTGGCCACCGCGGCGCCCGCCGGCAGTGGTGATTAAGGGGCTGGACCGCGGGGCGCAGGCAGGTGCGGCGGGGGAGGGCCCGCCAGCCTATATAAGGCACCCAGGACCGGCCGTTGGAGCCGCATGGATGGCAGCAGCAGGCCTGCCGGGCCCAGCGCGAGCTCCTCTCCACTGTGCACCATGGTCCAGCGGTGGCTGCTGCTGTCCTGCTGCGGAGCCCTGCTCAGCGCTGGTGAGTGAGGTCGAGGGGCGCCAGACACTGCGGTGCCCTCAGAGGGGCCCTGTGTGCGGGGGTCTCTGGGCCTTCTCGCCTCGACAACTCGGCTGGCCCACATGGACGCTGATGGACGGGAGGCCCCAGCTCGGCTCCGTGACCAGCCCCCGCTGCCAGGCCCGGGTCCCCCCAGCAGCCGCGGTGCTGGGCTCTGCCAATTGGGGTCAGGGACCCCATGGGGCCTGGGCAGGGACGCCCTCCTGTGAGCTGGCACAGCAGCCAGCGGGGGAGGACGCTCAGCTGGAGTGGGGTCCGGCACTCCCGCGGGAACAGTGGGCAGGTGTGCTGGTGCCCAGCCCTGGCGCTCTCCCTCCCCGAGTGGGGTCCTGAGTCCTGAGAGGTCTCTGGAGTGTGGGGGACAGAGGCACAGTCTCTGCTGGGCCCTGGGCCTCGTTTCCTAGTCTACAGAAGTGGGGGACGCTGCCTCCCCTGGTGTGGCCGCCGTGGGGGGAAGAGGGGGGAAGGTGTACGGCCATCCTGGGCTCAGAACCGCCGCAGGCAGCCTGCCCTCTCCCCCGCGCTCCCCTACCCAGCTCGGGCAGGATCCAGGAGGGACTGACATCCTGGATCCTCTGCCAACCGCCTGCCCTGCGGCTGCTGCAGGTGACCATCAGTCCCTCCCCAGGCCCCCAGAAGGAGCCAGCCCCAAGGGGTCCCTCTGTGGCCGCAGCCTGAGACCTGGGGAGACCCCTCTTGCCGACCAAGGCACCAGCCCAAGGGCCTCTGTGTTCCGTGCTCCTCCTTCCTCTCCAAGCTGGCCCGACCCTCCTCCACAGCCGGGAGCCCCCTGGGGTGGACGCTGGCGTGACAGAGCTCGCCCTCGGAGCTGCTGCCAACCTGGGCGCCTCGGGCTCAGAGCACAGTGGGACCCCCCCAGGGGTGTCCCACTGTAGGGCGACCCAAGCCCACCCCACCCCTTCTCTCCTTTGAAGCCCCTTCCCCACCACGCCGGGCACCACCCTTCAACCGTGGGAGATGTGGGGGTCTCTGAGCTCGCTCCCCACCACGCCGGGCACCACCCTTCAACTGTAGGAGATATGGGGGTCTCTGAGCCCGCTCCCTACCACGCCGGGCACCACCCTTCAACCGTGGGAGATGTGGGGGTCTCTGAGCCCTCCCAGCGGTGCCCTCTGCTTGGGACCCCAGCCCCTACCTGCACACCTGGCACAGCTTGGGGACAAGTGCCAGGAAGTGGGGCTAAACTTGCAGCAGAGTGCGACCCCTAGTCCCTCGGGCCACCACCCTGGAGCCAGGGAGGGAGGTGTGGTGAGGCCCAGAGAGGCTGGAGGTCTGGGCTGTGGGCAGTGCAGAGGGTGGAGGGCCAAGTGGGGGTGTCCACCCGTCACCCCAGCAAATAATCTCTGAGCGCCATCTCTGCCAACATGGGAGGGGCCTCAGCCAGCAGAGTGTGGGGTCGGACAGACGGGCTGCAGGCCTGGGCCGCGGTGGGCCGGGAGGCAGGGGTGGGCGGCCGCCAAGCGTGCAGAAGGAACAGTGCGCACCTGCCGCCTCGTGCTCGTCCAGGGGCTGAGAGGCCGGGGGTGGCGGACCAACCCGCCCAGATGCCCATGCGCCTGGCCAAGGGATCAGCCGAGGGGAAGCACAGCCAGTCTGGGCAGGAACGCAGGAGTCTCCCGCTGGACTTCAGAGCTGGAGGCAGCCGACTTGGAGCCAGTGGACTCGGGGAACCTCCTGCGGGTGGGGCAGGGCGAGGGCGGCGGGGGGCGCAGGGGGTGCAGCAATGAGGCACCCACCCGGGGCAGTGAAGCCAGCCTGGCAGGGCTGAGGGCACCGAAACACAGGCCCGAGGTGTCTGTGCTACAGCGGGGACGGCCCCCAAGTGCCACCCCCCATCGGAAAGGTGGAGAAACTGAGTTGCAGGGGGCATTGCCCAGGGGAGACCGGTCACAGCTCTGCAGCCTCCAGAGGTGCTGGCCCAGGGGCAGGCAGCCAACTGCTCCTCCCGCTCAGAGCTCTCCCACCCCTCCCCCACCAGAGGCCAGCGAGGGCCCCATCCCAGGAACCACTGAGTTCCATGGCTGAGGGTTCGGTGTGCTGCGCACTCCTGCAGCAGGTGCTCTGAGCCCTGTGGATCATCCCTGGAAGGAATGGCGGGGGGCTGAGGACCATGACACCTACTGGGACCCCCAGGAGGGGGATGAGTGAGGGGGTAGGTGCTCGCCAGGCTCAGGGCCCAGCATGAGCCACCCCCACACCAGTCTGGAGTAAACTCAGCTTACACTGGGGATAAGCCAGGTGCAACCCATCAGAAAACGATCTCAAGGCCAAAGGGGACCACAGCCAAATATGTGTCCCACATAGCCAAGGTTGGCATTCTTCTTAAATCCAGTCACTCAAATACCCAACCTCCTGCCTGTGCCAGACAGGACTCACCCAGGCGGCCAAGGGGCAGGCAGCCTGGCTCCTCCCTGGACCGCGGTTAACACCATCTCCCAGCTGACAGGCCCCTGCCCCTGCGTCACCGGAGACACAGGTGTCCAGCGGTAATGGGGGCAGCATCAAGTAAGTCCCAGAAAGTGGGCAGAGCCTGGGGTGAGAGCACAGGTGAGGAGTGGCAGGAATGGGATCTCTGAGCTACATCTGGAAGGAGGTGCTGTGAGTGCCCTGCTAACCAATGGGCAGGGGCAAGGAGGGTCCCGGCCCCAAGAAGGGCCTGGAGAGGTCACGGGTCCTGCTCAGGTGCCGCACCACCACTCAGACATCGGGGGCTCGTGGGAGCCACAGGAAGGGTCATAGTCTCGGAGGCAGGGTCCGGGGAGTTACCCAGAGGTGGGAAAAGTCTCCCTCTGGGTACAGGGGGTGGGACGTGGGGGGTGTTGGCCCCACCCCAGCCTCTGGGAGTCAGGGTGGGACGTCCCCCGCTGCCCTGCCCTGGAGTCACCGTGACTGGGCTATCTGGATGTTTCTCTGACAACAGTGGCCTCAGTGCCAGGCCTGACATCAAGGCTGTCTCAAGGCTGACGTGCAGGAAAGCGGCCATGTTTAGAGCCCCGGAGCCACCGAGAGCAGGGAGAACCGGCTGTGGGGCCTTGGCGCAGACCCCTCAGGGAAACCAGGCGGCCAAGCTGGGGAGGCGGGCACAGCCCACTTTGTTGGCTCCGCCGCCAAGCCCCTGCCACCCGCACCAGCCCCTCCTAGCCCCACCCAGAAGCCCCAGGGATGAGTACCCTGCACACAGGGTGCCCGCCATCTGCCGAACCCCGAGGGGCTGACGGCTGAACTGGGACTGAGTGGACAAACGAGGGAGTGAACGAGAGCAGGGAAGGAAGCTGGGGCTCGTGAAGGACAGCATGGGAGGCCAAGCGCTTGGCTTGCTGTTGAGGCCTCGAGCCCCACGGGCCATGGACACTTCTCGCACGCCGAGTGTGTGCAGGGAAACGGGCGGAGCAGCCCTGAGCAGAGGTGAGCGGCGCCCTCAGGGACGACGGGGTAGCCCCACACCGACTGCGGGTCCCGTCCACACAGGTCTGGCTAACACCTCCTACACCAGCCCAGGCCTCCAGAGGCTGAAGGACTCTCCACAGACAGGTAAGAACACAGCGGCCACTGATCCTGCCGCCCAGACCACCCAGGCCCGGTGTGCAGGAGAGAGGGGCCCGGAGCCCAGGTCACCCCCAAGACACACACATCCAACACACATATATGCACCAACATGAACACACATGCACATACACCCAACACACACACATACCCAATATACACATGCACACACACCTGACACACGCATACACATGTACATGACACATGCATGAGCACACGTCACACACACACCCAACACTCTACACAGACACACAACCCAACACACATGCACACACACCCAACACACACAACCTACACACAAACACACCTGACAAACACATGCACACACACCCAACACCCATGCACACACATCCCAGACATGCAAACATGCACACTTACAACACGCACGACTTACACATGTGCACGCACCCAACACACACACACCCTACACACACATGCACCCTATGTACACACCCTACACACCTGAGACACGCACCCAACACACACATACACACCCCGAATGCACACACATGCACTCGACACACATGCCCAGCTCACACAAACACACATGTGCATGCAACACAATCACACACACCCAACACACATGCAGGTGTATATCTCACACGCCTACACAGCCCTCCAACACACACACACCCACAATGCACACATGGACACACCTGACACGTATGCACACACCCGAGACACGCACATACGTGCACACACGTGCACACACACAACACACATACGTGTACCCACACACACGTGTGTGCACATGCCCACAGCGGTGCTGACTCCTGGCCAGGCATATACCATAGCACTCAGGTTCATCGGATGTCTGGGGTTTCCACAGCCTGGCCCCAACTCAAAAACCCTGGCCCAGGGAGACGAGTGACCTCTCTGCCTGCCCCAGCCCTGCCTGGCCAGGATGGTGGGGACACAGGGCTGTGTGAGCACTGCTCTCTCTGTAGCCCCGGACAAAGGCCAGTGCTCCACGTGGGGGGCTGGTCACTTCTCCACCTTCGACCACCACGTGTACGACTTCTCGGGGACGTGCAACTACATCTTCGCGGCCACCTGCAAGGACGCCTTCCCCACCTTCAGTGTCCAGCTGCGGCGAGGCCCAGACGGGAGCATCTCGCGGATCATCGTGGAGCTGGGGGCCTCCGTCGTCACTGTGAGCGAAGCCATCATCTCAGTCAAGGACATCGGGTAGGTCAGGTGGGCCGGGGCCCGGGGGCTCGGGGGCCGGAGGACTGAGGATCGACCACCGACTTCCCTTGCCCCACAGGGTCATCAGCCTGCCCTATACCAGCAATGGACTCCAGATCACACCCTTCGGCCAGAGCGTGCGGCTGGTGGCCAAGCAGCTGGAGCTGGAGCTGGAAGTCGTGTGGGGTCCTGACAGCCACCTCATGGTGAGGAGAGAAGGGCCAGGGTGGGCCTGGAGACCCGCAGCACGGGGGGGCAGGTGGGACTTGGGAGGGGCTGCCCTCCTTGGGGGTCCCAGCCAGCCCTCAGGCTGCCATGCAGCCAGGCCCTTCGTGCCAAGCAGTGCTGACCCCTGACCAGCAACATGAGCCAGGACTGGGTTTTGTGGGTGACTCGGCTTCTCCACTGGAAAATTAGCCTCCCATAAGAAGAGGCAGATGAGCAGGTGGGGGGATGGTGGGGGCTCTGGGTCCAGGAGCAGGAACTGAGAGCCCTCCACAGCAGATGAGGGGGCCCCTGGCCCCCGGGCCCCCAGCAGAGCCGTCTCCCGCAGGTTCTGGTGGAGCGGAAGTACATGGGTCAGATGTGCGGGCTCTGCGGGAACTTTGACGGGAAGGTGACCAACGAGTTTGTCAGTGAGGAGGGTAGGTGGGGGCAGGGCTGGGGGGCCTCTGGGGGGGCCTCTAGGTGGGGGGCAGGGCAGGGGGGCCTCTGAGGCCCAGCCCCCACGGTGCTGACCCCCATTCTGCACCCCAGGCAAGTTCCTGGAACCCCACAAGTTTGCTGCCCTCCAGAAGCTGGACGACCCCGGCGAGATCTGCACCTTCCAGGACATCCCCAGCACCCACGTCCGGCAGGCCCAGCACGTAAGCAAGGGGGCTCCAGGTGGGGCTGACCCCAGGTCTGACAGGGTCGCCGAGACCACCAAGGGCCCCCACAAGCAGCCGCATCACAGACGCCCTGCCCGACCTCCCCAGTCGTGGTGGCATGGGGTGTGGCCTTTGCCCCCATGACCCTGAGTGGCCCCCCCAGGCCCGGATCTGCACCCAGCTGCTGACCCTGGTGGCCCCTGAGTGCAGCGTGTCCAAGGAGCCCTTCGTGCTAAGCTGCCAGGCGGACGTGGCCGCAGCCCCCCAGCCAGGCCCACAGAACAGCAGTTGTGCCACCCTGTCGGAGTACTCCCGCCAGTGCAGCATGGTGGGCCAGCCGGTCCGCCGCTGGCGGAGCCCCGGCCTGTGCTGTGAGTCCAGGGAAGGGAGAGGGAGGGGCAGGAAGGCCGAGGGCTCCAGACCCAGCTCTCCCAGCCCCTGGACTGCCTGACGTGACGCCTGCATCCCTCCTGGTCTGAGAGACAGGAGATCCTCGCTGCTGCTTCTAGATGGAGGAAGGGCTGGGCTAAGTCCTCCATCAAGCTGGGGTGGGGCAGGGAGGGGTGGGGGGGGTGGGACCCTCTCACCGGAGCCGCGTGTGCCCACAGCCGTGGGTCAGTGCCCGGCCAACCAGGTGTACCAGGAGTGCGGCTCGGCCTGCGTGAAGACCTGCTCCAACCCGCAGCACAGCTGCTCCAGCTCCTGCACCTTCGGGTGCTTCTGCCCGGAAGGTGAGGGCAGTCGCAGGCACTCTCTCTCCCCGGGACCCCTAGAGAGAACCCAGAGACAAGGGGACGTCAGACCCCACCCACCCCGACCCAGGTCACCCCAACATTCTGCTGCCTGAGTCCCAGCTCTGGCGCCTCTTGCCCTGGGACAGGCTTTTCCCGCCTGGACGCTTACAGCCTGCAGGTCCCCCAGCCACGGCCACCCCTGCAAACCCACGGGCGGTGAGGGCTGCTCACTGCGGTCTAGGAGCTGCCGAGGGAAGGCAGGGTTTGAGCCGGGCCCAAGGGACAGTTACACGTCCCTGCCTGCTGGAGGCCACCACTCACCAGGAACCTGGGCCGGGCACATTGGCACGAGGGGCTGTGCACGCCCAGGGCCTGACATAGAGTTGCGAATGCAAGTGCAGCTGGAGAGAGGTCATGGCCCAGGCTAGAGGGGGCGTCTCCCTGGAGCCAGGCTGGAGGGGCGTCTCCCTGGAGCCAGGCTGGAGGGGGCGTCTCCCTGGAGCCAGGCTGGAGGGGGCGTCTCCCTGGAGCCAGGGAGGGGAGAGTGGGAGGCAGTCAGTCCCACCCAAGCCCCAAGAAGACCCTCTCCTGCAGGTACGGTCCTGAATGACCTCTCCAATAACCACACCTGCGTGCCCGTCACCCAGTGCCCCTGTGTGCTCCACGGCGCCATGTATGCCCCCGGGGAGGTCACAATAGCTGCCTGCCAAACCTGGTGAGTGAGGCGCCGGAGGGGGCTCTGGCCGGCCGGCAGGGGTTCCACTGGCCTAGGGCAGGCAGGGGTGTGCTGTCTGGCTCCAGCGGCCCTGCCCACCATGCCGCTACCCCCACGCCCACCCACAGCCGGTGCACCCTGGGCCGCTGGGTGTGCACGGAGCGGCCGTGCCCCGGACACTGCTCCCTGGAAGGTGGCTCCTTTGTTACCACATTTGACGCCAGGCCCTACCGCTTCCACGGCACCTGCACCTACATCCTCCTCCAGGTAGGACGAGCCCTGTGGCCCGTGGGGAGGGGCGCTCCCGGTGACCCCACCCGTGTCTGAGCCCCGCCCCCTCGCAGAGCCCCCAGCTTCCCGAGGACGGTGCCCTCATGGCTGTGTACGACAAGTCCGGCGTCTCACACTCCGAGACCTCCCTGGTGGCTGTGGTCTACCTCTCCAGGCAGGTAAGGCCTTTCCTGCGCCCATCCCTGCCAGCAGGGCTCCGCTCCCTGGTGCCTGCACCCTGACTCAGGCCACCCTCTCTCCAGGACAAAATTGTGATCTCTCAGGACGAGGTGGTCACCAACAACGGAGAAGCCAAGTGGCTGCCATACAAGACTCGTACGTCCTGGCCCAGTCTGTGGCCCCCCAGAGTTGTGCCTTCGGGGCGGGCTGCAGTGGGTGGGGAGGGAGCCCAGACGGCCCACTGAGCACTGCGTCCTGCAGGCAACATCACGGTCTTCAGGCAGACGTCCACCCACCTCCAGATGGCCACCAGCTTCGGGCTGGAGCTCGTGGTCCAGCTGCGCCCCATCTTCCAGGCCTATGTCACTGTTGGGCCCCAGTTCAGAGGTCAGACCAGAGGTGAGTCCCTGCCTCTCCAGGTGGCCCTGTTGCCTCATCCCTACAGGGTCTGGCCATGACCAGGGGAGGAGAAAGGTCCAAGAGAGGTTCACACAACCCTCTGTGTCCGGGGAGCCCCCAGGGGTAACAGGCACGTGTGGCCCACGCAGCCTCTCACCCAGGGTGCTGTTAGAGGAAGGACGGGAGCTCCAGGGCGTGTGGGCAGGAATGGGTGCAGGAGGGATGGGTTCAAGTCGAGCTCACGCCCCGCCGGCTCAGGGCTCTGCGGCAACTTCAACGGGGACACAACGGATGACTTCACCACTAGCATGGGTATCGCCGAGGGCACCGCCTCGCTGTTTGTGGACTCCTGGCGGGCGGGGAACTGTCCGGCCGCTCTGGAGCGTGAGACTGACCCCTGCTCCATGAGCCAGCTCAACAGTGAGTGTCCGGCCCCCCACTCCCCTGGCTGCCCCCCCAGCGCCCACAGTTCTGACAGACCCCTGGACTGGACCACAGGCCCAGCTGCCAGGGTGGGGGGTCCCTGGGAGGAGCCGTAGCTGGAATGGGAGGGGCCGGGACTCACGCCCGGGCCTGTCATCCCCAGAGGTGTGTGCAGAGACCCACTGCTCCATGCTGCTGAGGACAGGCACGGTGTTCGAGAGGTGCCACGCCACAGTGAACCCTGCACCCTTCTACAAGGTGAGGGCCCGAGGGCGTCTTGGGAGGGCTGCAGGGGAGGCTGTGGTGGCTGACAAGGTCTCAGGCACCCAAGGGCATAGGTTTGGGACCCCCATGTCCCCAGGGCAGGGTGCCTGCCACCAGCCCATGCTGGCTCTCTGCCCGCAGAGGTGCGTGTACCAGGCCTGCAACTACGAGGAGACCTTTCCCCACATCTGTGCCGCCCTGGGCGACTACGTACACGCCTGCTCCTTGCGGGGCGTCCTGCTCTGGGGCTGGAGAAGCAGTGTGGACAACTGCAGTGAGTGCCCGACGGGGCTTAAGCGGGGTCACGGCAGGCTGGGCTCACGAGGGGGTGTCCTGGGACCCCAAGCTCTGAGGCTCTGCAGTGCCCGGCAGGCAGGGGAACCCGAGATTGCCCTCCCGGCCGCCCCCTCCCGGAGAGTCTGATGCCCGGGTCCCCCACAGCCATCCCCTGCACGGGTAACACCACCTTCAGCTACAACAGCCAAGCCTGTGAGCGCACCTGCCTGTCGCTGTCGGACCGTGCCACCGAGTGCCACCACAGCGCCGTGCCCGTGGACGGTTGCAACTGCCCCGATGGCACCTACCTGAACCAAAAGGGCGAGTGTGTGCGCAAGGCCCAGTGCCCGTGCATACTGGAGGGTTACAAGTTCATCCTGGCCGAGCAGTCCACTGTCATCAACGGCATCACCTGGTGAGGGACCGGGCAGGGGCCAGGCGGGGGGTCCCTGCCAGGTCCCGGGGTCTCACGCAGCCTCTCTCTTGCAGCCACTGCATCAACGGGCGGCTGAGTTGCCCGCAGCGGCCACAGATGTTCCTGGGTACGTACAGCAGCGCTGGCCGCAGGCTGGGACTGTGAGGGGCCCCGGCTTCCTCTGAGTGTCCTGACCGCGCACCCCTCTTTCCTGCAGCCTCCTGCCAGGCCCCTAAGACCTTCAAGTCCTGCAGCCAGTCCTCCGAGAACAAGTTTGGGGCAGCCTGTGCCCCCACATGCCAGATGCTGGCCACCGGTGTTGCCTGCGTAAGGGGGCGCGCGAGGAGCAGGGACAATGCCCGGGCCCCAGCTGAACCATGAGGGGGTTTCCACAGAACTCCGGGAGACCTGGCCGCATTCTGCCCTGCAGCGGGTGCCTGGGGCTGGCCACGAGGTGGAAGCGGCCCTGTGGCCAGGCAGCTGGAGGCCCCGGGGGCTCGTCTGCAGGGCTCCCTAAGGACAGTGGGCACCAGCTCGGGGAGGGTGGGCTGCCCATGTGTGGGAGTGGGTACAGCAGCCCAGCCGTGTGCACTGGGTCCCAGGACCTTCCACGAGGTGGGGGAAGCTTTGCTAAGGCAGTAAGCCCAGCTGCCCACAAAGGCCACAGAGCAGGGCTGTATTCAGGGAGAGGACCTGGGAGACACGCCGGGCAGTCTCAGAGGGGCC
Organism: Homo sapiens; assembly: GCF_000001405.40. NCBI lineage: Eukaryota > Metazoa > Chordata > Mammalia > Primates > Hominidae > Homo > Homo sapiens. Next base: position 100,934 of record NT_187681.1, on the reverse strand, counting down.
CAGGGCTGGGCAGCAGCTGGCTGAGGCCACCCTCCCAGGAGCTGCTGACCTGCCTCCCTCCAGGTGCCCACCAAGTGTGAGCCTGGCTGTGTCTGCGCCGAGGGCCTCTACGAGAATGCCGACGGGCAGTGTGTGCCCCCCGAGGAGTGCCCATGTGAGTTCTCGGGGGTCTCCTACCCTGGAGGAGCTGAGCTCCACACTGACTGCAGGACCTGGTGAGACAAAGCCTCGCTTCAGACGCCCTGGGCTCCTGGGGCCATCTGGGGCAGGCGGAGGCTGCCCGGGGTGGGGCTGTCCCAGAGGCGGGGGCGTCCAGAGGTGCAGTCTGGCCTCTCCAGGGACCACACCCAGTATGGCAGGAGGGCCGCAGGCCCACCACCCACACCTGCTGTCTCCACAGCTCCTGCTCAAGGGGGAGGTGGGCCTGTCAGCAGGGCACCCACTGCCCATCCACCTGCACCCTCTACGGGGAGGGCCACGTCATCACCTTCGACGGCCAGCGCTTCGTATTCGACGGCAACTGCGAGTACATCCTGGCCACGGTAACCATCGGGTGCCAGGCCGCAGGGGCCGGGGACCCAGAGGCACGGCCTCCAGGGCTCCTCCTCAGCGCCCTCTCCCTGCAGGACGTCTGTGGTGTCAACGACTCACAGCCCACCTTCAAGATCCTGACAGAGAACGTCATCTGTGGGAACTCCGGGGTCACATGCTCACGGGCCATCAAGATCTTCCTGGGGGTGAGCAGCCGGGCAGACTCTGGCAGGGCAGGACGGGCGGTAGGGGGCCCTGCCACACAGCTGGATCCCGCGCACTGGAGCCTCCAGGTCCTGCCCCGAGATGCAGCCCTCCCCGCCTGCCTCTCCTTGAGGGGTGCCTGCTGCCCCTCCCTGGCCAGACGCTCAGGACCACGGGTGCTTGTGCCCCACAAGGTTTCAGGGACTGCAGAATGTCTCCCGGGCAGAGGGGAGGGACTCTCCAGGAAGCCCGAGCTTCAGCCCTCAGCCCTGTTCCAGGCATGCCAGGCCCTTCTGCCCCAAGCTGGCTCTCAGCAGGCGCTCCTGTGCATGGCCTTAACAGACCTGGGCAGCTCTGTCTCTGAGAGCTCGGTCCAGCACGGCTGTGCCAGGGGCCGGGGGAGACAGACAGGCAGTCCTATGCCAACCCCACCCCACAGGGCCTGTCCGTGGTGCTGGCGGACAGAAACTACACGGTCACCGGGGAGGAGCCCCACGTGCAGCTCGGGGTGACGCCGGGTGCGCTGAGCCTTGTCGTGGACATCAGCATCCCCGGGAGGTACAACCTGACGCTCATCTGGAACAGGCACATGACCATCCTCATCAGGATCGCCCGTGCCTCCCAGGTACCGCACGCCCTCTGCCTCCTCCCAGGCCCTCCCTGATGCAGGGGTGGAGACAGATGGCACGGCCCCTGGGCCCGGCCTGATGCCACCGTCTGCAGGATCCCCTCTGCGGCTTGTGTGGCAACTTCAACGGGAACATGAAGGACGACTTCGAGACGCGCAGCAGGTACGTGGCATCCAGCGAGCTGGAGTTGGTGAACTCGTGGAAGGAGAGCCCGCTGTGCGGGGACGTGAGCTTCGTGACAGACCCCTGCAGTCTCAATGCCTTCCGGCGCTCCTGGGCCGAGCGCAAGTGCAGCGTCATCAACAGCCAGACCTTTGCCACCTGCCACAGCAAGGTGGGCACCGGGCACGAGGGCTGTGCGCCTGCCCCTCCACAAATGTCCGGTGGGGGCGGGGGAAGGGGCGGGGAAGCCAGGCACGGTTCTCCCTCCGTGGGATCCCAGACCAGCCAGGTCAGGGTGCAGAGAGTTTCAGACCCTCTGCCTGAGTGCAGGGCCCTGATGTGGGGCCGACTCGTGCACTGTGGCTGTTAAGCAGCCCCCCGGCCTCCACCCACCAGATGCCAATAGCACCCCCAGACAGTGCCACGAGTCCCCTGGGGCAGCATCGCCTGGTGGGCCCCCTGCTCAGGAGCTGGTGGTCAGGGAGACCTCCAGGATGCAGGGCGTGCACTTCCCAGCCCAGGGCGTGATCCGGCCATCGCGGCGCAGTAAGAACTGAGAGGATGGGGGCACCCCGCGGGGGAACAGCATGGCACTGGCCCGCTGAATGTGAGCGTGACGTGGGGGGAGCAGAGACCCTGGGTGGGACTGCAGTGGCCGTGGTTAGCGGCAGCGGCATCTTGGTCCCGATGGCGGGTCTCAAGGCGTGAGCTCGGGTCAGGCCTCCGTGGCAGCATCGGCTCCGGGAGCGTGGCTAGCGGTCAGGGCTGAGGTCCACGTGGTGCCGCTCACCCAGTCCCAGCGCCCTTACCGCCACACTCCGGCCTGACCACACTGAGGGCCCTGCAGGTGGCAAAGCCTGATGCCCCGCCATCCCCCGGCAGCCAGACACTGACTGGCACACACCCCTGCAGGTATACCACCTGCCCTACTACGAGGCCTGCGTGCGCGACGCATGTGGGTGTGACAGTGGCGGGGACTGTGAGTGTCTGTGCGATGCCGTGGCTGCCTACGCCCAAGCCTGTCTGGACAAGGGTGTGTGCGTGGACTGGAGGACCCCGGCCTTCTGCCGTGAGTGACCACCCCTCCCACAGGTTGCTCCAGCCCCTGCCACCCAGCGCCACTAAGGGCCGGCGCAGGGCTGCCCTTGCCCACAGGCCCCTCTCCCTGGACAGGCGCCGGGCTGTGCCCTGCGGGGCCACCCTGGCCCTCCCGCAGCCCCCAGCTGCCCAGGGGAGGCTTCACCAAGAGGGCCCAGACCTTCCCCGCCCACACTCAGGTTCCATGCATGCCCAGGGGAACCACCGGGTCAGGGCCAGGGCCAGGGCCAGGAACCCCACCAGCTGACAGCTCCCTTCCTCCCAGCCATCTACTGCGGCTTCTACAACACGCACACGCAGGACGGCCATGGCGAGTACCAGTACACACAGGAGGCCAACTGCACGTGGCACTACCAGCCCTGCCTCTGCCCCAGCCAGCCACAGAGCGTCCCAGGCAGCAACATCGAAGGTGCCAGGTGACCGGGAGGCAACGCAGATACACAGGGGGACCCATTCACTCATTCATGCACATTCATTCATTCACACGCATTCATTCATTCACACATTCATTCATGCTCATTAATTCACACATTCATTAATTTGCACACATTCATTCACACACACTCACGCACATTCACATTCATTCATGCAGATTCATGCATTCATTCACGCATATTCATTCATTCACGCACATTTGTTCATCCACTCACACACACTCATGCACATTCATTCACACATTCATTCACGCAGTCACTACACACACATTCATTCATGCTCATTCACGCAGTCACATTCCCGCAGATTCATGCACATTCATTCACGCACATTCACTCACGCACATTCACGCACACTCATGCACATTCACTCCATTCATCCATTCATTCACCCACACACACTCATTCAACATATTCACGCTCATTCACATTCATTCACGCACATTCACTCAACACATTCACATTCATTCATGCTCATTCACACATTTACTCACCCACATTCATGCACATTCACGCACTCATGCATTCATTTACGCACATTTGTTCACTCACGCACATTCACTCATGCACATTCACGCACATTCATTCAACATTCACTCACGCACATTCACCCATGCACATTCATTCACACATATTCATTCATTCATTCATGTTTGCTTATTCATTCATGCACATTCGCTCATACACACACGCACATTCATGCATTCATTTGCACATTCATTCTTTCACACACACAGTCACTCAGCAGATGGGTCCTGAGCACCTCTGTCCTCCAGGCCGGCTCCAGGTCAGGGGACCTGGCCTTACACAAAACAAACAGTCCTGCAACCTGGAGCTTCCCTCCCAGCCAGGGAGAGGTGCTTAAGGAGGCAGACCCAGTGTCGGCCGAGGCGCCCACCATGGAGAGGAGAAAGGCAGGCTGGGGTGGGAGAGCCACAGGCTTCTGTGCCACACAGGGTGGTTGGGGCCCTTGGTGGGAGGCAGATGTGAGGGCGAGGATGGGAAAGGTGAGGAGGGGAGCCAGGAAAGTGTCCAGAGGAGCAGCCAGGAGCAGCCTTGTGCCCAGAACCCTTAAGAAAGCCAGGGCAGCGGGCAGAGCCAGCGAGTGAGGGGCGCGGGCTGCAGAGGGCAGAGGGAGCGGTGGAGGGGTGCGGGGCTGTAGAGGGCAGATGGAGTGAGTGAGGGGCGCGGGGCTGTAGAGGGCAGAAGGAGCGAGTGGGGCGCGGGGCTGCAGAGGGCAGAGCAAGCGAGTGAGGGGCACAGGGCTGCAGAGGGCAGAGGGAGTGAGTGAGGGGCGCGGGGCTGTAGAGGGCAGAGGGAGCGAGTGAGGGGCGTGGGCTGCAGAGGGCAGAGCGAGTGAGGGGCGCGGGGCTGCAGAGGGCAGAGGGAGCGAGTGAGAGGCGCGGGGCTGCAGAGGGCAGAGGGAGCGAGTGAGGGGCACCGGGCTGCAGAGGGGTGTGGGGTACACAGACTTGTGGGGTGGGGTGTGGCCGGGAGGGAGGGGTCTTTGTGAGGCCTGTGGCTGCCCCAAGGCAGAGGTCTGAATGCAGAGGGTCCTGGGATTAACAGGTCCTGGCCCAAGTGGTGGAGGAGGGTGGTGTCTGGAGCCATCCGGACACACAGAGGACAGATGTGTTGGGGCTCAGGAGGGCAATGCAGGGCACCTGCATCGGGGAGCACAGAAGAGGGGCCAGTGTCTGAGGTCCAGGGGGAGGTGAGGACTGGAAGATGGCACCGAAGCCCCAGCCCCGGGTGATAAGCAGGGTATGAGAGACCAAGGCCTGAGGAAGGCATGGCAGGAAAGGAGGGGCTTAGAGCAAGGTGCGCGGGTGAAACTGTAATCCCAGCACTCTGGGAGGCCGAGGCAGGAAGATCACCTCAGGTCAAGAGTTTGAGACCAGCCTGGCCAACGTGGCGAAGCCCCATCACTACTAAAAATACAAAAATTAGCCGGGCGTCATGGCACATGCCTGCAATCGCAGCTACCTGGGAGGCTGGGGCAGGAGAATCATGTGAATCCAGGAGGCAGAGGTTGCAGTGAGCGAAGATTGTGCCACTGCACTCCAGCCTGGGCGACAGAGCGAGACTCTGTCTCAAAAAAAAAAAAAAAAAAAAGCAGAGAGGAAGGAGGCCGCCAGGGCAGGAAACACGCAGGTGGGCCTGGCTGGCCACCAGTCACACAGACCCTGGCCGTTCTCCACCCTAGGCTGCTACAACTGCTCCCAGGATGAGTACTTCGACCACGAGGAGGGGGTGTGCGTGCCCTGCAGTAAGTCCAGTCGGCTGCCCTGAGAACCCTGCCCCTGCCTGCATGCAGGCAGAACGCACGTCCACATCCCACAAACAAGGGAGAGAGCCCTCGGGGGCTGTGAGCCCTTACGTGAGCTCTGGGACTCCACTCTCCAGGACCCTGGCCCCTTGGGTCTCCAGAGACTCAGGCAGCCTCCAGCCCATGGCAGCAGAGAGAAAAAAACACAGCACTGAACCCCACTGGGCCCTCCCATCCCCTCTTCCACCAGCTCCCAGCTCCCCCTACCCTCACCAGGCCTGCCAGGGTGCCTGGGGTATAGAGTGGGAATCATCCTGGGAAGGAGAAAGGGAGAGAGGGGAGGGTGGGCTCCCAGCCCCTCCAGTCCCCTCCACCACAGCCTTGGTGAGCATCTCTGACTCAGGCCCTCGGAGCTCCCAGAGGCCCCACGGGGTGGGGAGGCTTAGAGAACCACAGGGAGCTGACCCCATCTTCTTGCAGTGCCGCCCACCACGCCGCAGCCACCCACCACGCCGCAGCTGCCCACCACAGGTAATTGCACGCACACTAGGTGCCAAGGTGACGCAGGCCCTTTCCTGGGCTCCCCTCGGTTCCCTGGACAAATCTGTCGGGTGGGAAGCAGGGAGGGGGCAGGCAGTACCTGTGCCCTTCTCAGGTCTAACCTGGCAATCAGAGTTGGGGAGGAGCTCAGCCCACAGCCAGGAAGCAGCCTGGTCCCCATGGCCCTGGCTGGACCCACGGATGAGCACAGAGTGGGGCCTCAACAGGTGACCCCCGCCATGCAGGAGGCCCAGCCAGGAGCCAGGCTGCACTCAGAGTGCCACAGGCCAGCCCTCAACTGCACATCATTGGCCCCTGCAGGGCTGCCCGGCTTCAGGGCCAAGCAGGCAGAGGGGAGGGTGCTCCCCAAGGATATGCCGGTACCCTGCAGCCCTGATGGCATGTCCGCCCACCCAGGCTCACGGCCCACGCAAGTCTGGCCCATGACGGGAACCTCCACCACCATCGGGCTTCTCAGCTCCACCGGACCCTCACCCAGCTCTAATCACACCCCTGCCAGCCCCACCCAGACACCCCTCCTTCCAGCCACGCTCACATCCTCCAAGCCCACAGCCTCCTCGGGAGGTAAGGAGCCTCCAGCTGAGCCCATGGAGAGGGCAGCTGCAGGAGGTCCTAGGTACACCTCTGGGGTGGGCTTAGGGATGGCCCTGCTTCCTGGCTCACATCTGCCACTAAGCAGATTCCCAGCGTAGAACTTCCTATGCTTGGGAGCCAAACTGGGGATTTTTCGGAAAAACTTTTAAAGACAAGCTGGTCATGGCATGGGGCATTCCTTGCTGCTGGCTGCTGTCACTAGAAACCGTGTGGGACCTGCAGGGCCTCTGCCAGGCAGCCTGCCCCTGCCCCACACCGAGCAGGGCCCCATCTGCTGCCCAGGGACCCTGGAGGGGACAGGACGACAGTCCGTTCAGCTAAGCAAGGGTGGGCGCAGGAGCAGCCGCAGCCCCATAAGCATGTGGTCACTGCCCCAGCTCTGGCCACCACAGCCAGGAGTACGGTGGGAGGACCTAACAAAGGCAAGAGGAAGAGCCCCTCCAAGGAGGCTGAGTCCCGGACAGCAGGCCAGGGATCCCAGAAGCAGGGCAGGGGGCTGGGACACAAGCCTTCGAAATGCAGGCCCACAGCAAGGGGATGTTCCGGGCGGCTGTCCTCTGCAGAACCACCTAGACCAACCACGGCCGTCACCCCACAAGCCACATCAGGGCTGCCTCCCACAGCCACACTGAGATCGACAGCCACAAAACCCACAGTGACCCAGGCCACAACCAGGGCCACGGCATCGACCGCCAGCCCAGCCACGACGTCCACAGCTCAGTCCACAACACGGACCACAATGACACTACCAACCCCAGCCACATCAGGGACAAGCCCCACGCTGCGTAAGTCATGGCGCCATGGGATGCCAGCACTGCCGAAGGCACCCGGTCCCACCACCAGCTCACATTCAGTGATTCAGCCATAAAGAAGACCCCGTATTTCCCAGAGGGCAAGCGAGAAGGCAGCCCAAAAGTGTAGGCTGGAGCTGGAGGCAAGGAAGGCCGCCTGGCACTCACAAAGGCAGGCCTGGGGAGCAGAGGTGCAGGAGGGTGGGGGCCACCACCACGGCCACAGGGAACCAGAAGGGGATAAAGTAGGGCCTGGGTTCCAGTCACAGAGCGGCAGCTGCACTGAAGGAGTCAGCACGCAGCTCAGGGCAGGATGTGGAGCAAGTCCAGGTGAGATGGAGACAATGGGGCAGGCTGGAGTGCCCAGCAGGGGCCATGTCACAGGAACAGAGGCACAGACAGGCAAGAAAAAGGTCACATAGACAAAAGGACGGGCCAGCGGAGGTCAGGGTAGAGAAACAAAAACAATAACGATGACAACTTCACCAATTCCCACAGCAAAATCGACCAATCAGGAACTGCCAGGAACAACGGCCACCCAGACGACAGGCCCACGTCCAACCCCAGCAAGCACCACAGGCCCAACCACCCCACAGCCAGGACAACCCACGAGGCCCACAGCCACAGAGACCACTCAAACAAGAACGACTACTGAATACACAACGCCCCAAACCCCACACACCACACACTCCCCGCCTACGGCGGGGAGTCCCGTCCCTTCCACAGGTCCTGTCACTGCAACATCTTTCCATGCCACCACTACCTATCCAACCCCATCACACCCTGAGACCACACTTCCCACTCACGTTCCACCTTTCTCCACCTCCTTGGTGACTCCAAGTACTCACACAGTCATCACCCCTACCCACGCACAGATGGCCACATCTGCCTCCAACCACTCAGCGCCAACAGGTACCATTCCTCCACCAACAACGCTCAAGGCCACAGGGTCCACCCACACAGCCCCACCAATAACGCCGACCACCAGTGGGACCAGCCAAGCCCACAGCTCATTCAGCACAAACAAAACACCTACCTCGCTACATTCACACACTTCCTCCACACACCATCCTGAAGTCACCCCAACTTCTACTACCACGATTACTCCCAACCCCACTAGTACACGCACCAGAACCCCTGTGGCCCACACCAACTCAGCCACCAGCAGCAGGCCACCACCACCCTTCACCACACACTCCCCACCTACAGGGAGCAGTCCCTTCTCTTCCACAGGTCCCATGACGGCAACATCCTTCAAGACCACCACTACCTATCCAACCCCATCACTCCCTCAGACCACTCTTCTCACTCACGTTCCACCTTTCTCAACCTCTTTGGTGACTCCAATTACTCACACAGTCATCACCCCTACCCACCCACAGATGTCCACTTCTGCCTATATCCACTCAACGCCAACAGGCACGATTGCTCCACCAACAACAGTTAAGGCCACAAGGTCCACCTACACAGCCCCACTAATGACGGCAACCACCAGTAGGATCAGCCAAGCCCACAGCTCAATCAGCACAGCCAAAACCTCTACATCCCTCCACTCACATGCTTCCTCCACACACCATCCTGAAGTCACCCCAACTTCTACCACCAACGTGACTCCCAAGTCCACCAGTAGAGGCACCAGCACCCCTGTGACCCACACCACCTCGGCCACCAGTAGCAGGCCACCCACACCCATCACAACACACTCTTCACCTACCAGGAGCAGTCCCCTCTCTTCCACAGGTCGTATGACTGCAACATCTCTCAAGACCACCACTACCTATCCAACCCCATCACAAGCTCACATCACACTTCCCATTCATGTTCCACCTTTCTCCACCTCATCGGTGACTCCAAGTACTCACACAGTCATCACCCCAACCCACCCACAGATGTCCACTTCTGCCTCCAACCACTCAACGTCAACAGGCACCATTCCTCCACTGACAACGCTCACCACCACCCTTCACCACACACTCCCCACCTACAGAGAGCAGTCCCCTCTCTCCCACAGGTCCTATGACTCCAACATCCTTCAAGACCACCACTACCTATCCAACCACATCACACCCTCAGACCACACTTCCCACTCACGTTCCACCTTTCTCCAGCTCGTCAGTGACTCCAAGTACTCACACAGTCATCACCCCTACCCATGCACAGATGTCCACTTCTGCCTCGATCCACTCAACGCCAACAGGTACCATTCCTCCACTGACAACGCTCACGGCCACAGGGTCCACACACACAGCCTCACCAATGACGGGGACAACCATTCGGACCACCCAAGCCCACAGCTCATTCAGCATAGCCAAAACCTCTACATCCATCCTCTCACATGCTTCCTCCACACACCATCCGGAAACCACACCAACTTCTACCACCAACATTACTCCCAAGTCCACTAGTGCAGGAACCAGCACCCCTGTGGCCCACACCACCTTGGCCACCAGCAGCAGGCCACCCACACCCTTCACCACACACTCCCCACCTACAGGGAGCAGTCCCATCTCTTCCACAGGTCCTATGACTGCAACATCCATCAAGACCACCACGACCTATCCAACCCCATCACACCCTCAGACCACACTTACCACTCATGTTCCACCTTTCTCCACCTCATCAGTCACTCCAAGTACTCACACAGTCATCACCCCTACCCACGCACAGATGTCCACTTCCTCCACACACTATCCTGAAGTCACCCCAACTTCTACCACCACCATCACCCCCAACCACACCAGTACAGGCACCAGAACCCCTGTGGCCCACACCACCTCGGCCACCAGCAGCAGGCTACCCATACCCTTCACCACACATTCCCCACCTACAGGGAGCAGTCCCATCTCTTCCACAGGTCCTATGACTGCAACATCCTTTCAGACCACCACTACCTATCCAACCCCATCACACCCTCAGACCACACTTCCCACTCACCTTCCACCTTTCTCCACCTCCTTGGTGACTCCAAGTACTCACACAGTCATCATCACTACCCACACACAGATGGCCACTTCTGCCTCCATCCACTCAACGCCAACAGGCACCGTTCTTCCACCAACAACGCTCAAGGCCACAGGGTCCACCCACACAGCGCCAACAATGACGCCGACCACCAGCGGGACGAGCCAAGCCCTGAGCTCATTCAACACAGCCAAAACCTCTACATCCCTACATTCACAAACTTCCTCCACACACCTTCCTGAAGTCACCCCAACTTCTACCGCCATCACCCCCAATCCCACCAGTACAGGAACCGGCACCCCTGTGGCCCACACCACCTCAGCCACCAGCAGCAGGCTAACCACACCCTTCACCACACACTCCCCACCTACAGGGAGCAGTCCCTTCTCTTCCACAGGTCCTATGACTGCAACATCCTTCCAGACCACCACTACCTATCCAACACCATCACACCCTCAGACCACACATCCCACTCACGTTACATCTTTCTCCACCTCCTTGGTGACTCCAAGTACTCACACAGTCATCACCCCTACCCACGCACAGATGGCCACTTATGCGTCCATCCACTCAACGCCAACAGGCACCATTTCTCCACCAACAACGCTCAAGGCCACAGGGTCCTTCCCCTCAGCCCCACCAATGACGTCGACCACCAGTGGGACCAGCCAATCCCGAAGCTCATTTAGCACGGCCAAAACCTCTACATCCCTACATTCACACACTTCCTCAACACATCATCCTGAAGTCACCTCAACTTCTACCACCAGCATCACCCCCAACCACACCAGTACAGGCACCAGAACCCCTGTGGCCCACACCACGTCGGCCACCAGCAGCAGGCTACCCATACCCTTCACCACACACTCCCCACCTACAGGGAGCAGTCCCATCTCTTCCACAGGTCCTATGACTGCAAACATCCTTCCAGACCACCACTACCGATCCAACCCCATCACACCCTCACACCACACTTCCCACTCACGTTCCATCTTTCTCCACCTCCTTGGGGACTCCAAGTACTCACATAGTCATCACCCCTACCCACGCACAGATGGCCACTTCTGCCTCCATCCACTCAATGCCAACAGGCACTATTCCTCCACCGACCACGATCAAGGCCACAGGGTCCACCCACACAGCCCCACCAATGACGGCAACCACCAGTGGGACCAGCCAATCCCCAAGCTCATTTAGCACGGCCAAAACTTCTACATCCCTACATTCACACATTTCCTCAACACATCATCCTGAAGTCACCCCAACTTCTACCACCACCATCACCCCCAACCACACCAGTACAGGCACCAGAACCCCTGTGGCCCACACCACCTCGGCCACCAGCAGCAGGCTACCCATACCCTTCACCACACATTCCCCACCTACAGGGAGCAGTCCCATCTCTTCCACAGGTCCTATGACTGCAACATCCTTTCAGACCACCACTACCTATCCAACCCCATCACACCCTCACACCACACTTCCCACTCACGTTCCATCTTTCTCCACCTCCTTGGTGACTCCAAGTACTCACATAGTCATCACCCCTACCCACGCACAGATGGCCACTTCTGCCTCCATCCACTCAATGCCAACAGGCACTATTCCTCCACCGACCACGATCAAGGCCACAGGGTCCACCCACACAGCCCCACCAATGACGGCAACCACCAGTGGGACCAGCCAATCCCCAAGCTCATTTAGCACGGCACTGGGCTTCTACATCCCTACATTCACACATTCCTCCACCTACAACGGTAAAGGCCACAGGCACAGGGTCCACGCACACAGCACCACGAATGACAGTGACCACCAGCGGGACCAGCCAAGCGCACAGCTCTTTCAGCACAGCCAAAACCTCCACATCCCTACACTCACATGCTTCTTCAACACTCCATCCTGAAGTCACCCCAACTTCTACCACCACCATCACCCCCAACCCCACCAATACAGGCATCAGAACGCCTGTGGCAAACACCACCTCAGCCACCAGCAGCAGGCTAACCACACCCTTCACCACACACTCCCCACCTACAGGGAGCAGTCCCATCTCTTCCACAGGTCCTATGACTGCAACATCCTTCCAGACCACCACTACATATCCAACCCCATCACACCCTCAGACCACACTTCCCACTCACGTTCCACCTTTCTCCACCTCCTTGGTGACTCCAAGTACTCACACAGTCATCACCCCTACCCACGCACAGATGGCCACTTCCGCCTCCATCCATTCAACGCCAACAGGCACCATTCCTCCACCGACAACGCTGAAGGCCACAGGGTCCACCCACACAGCCCCACCAATGATGCCAACCACCAGTGGGACCAGCCAAGCCTCAAGCTCATTCAACACAGCCAAAACCTCTACATCCCTACATTCACACACTTCCTCCACACACCATCCTGAAGTCACCCCAACTTCTATCACCAACATCACCCTCAACCCCACCAGTATAGGAACCTGGACACCCGTGGCCCACACAACCTCAGCCACCAGCAGCAGGCTAACCACACCCTTCACCACACACTCCCCACCTACAGGGACCACTCCCATCTCTTCCACAGGACCTGTCACTGCAACATCCTTCCATGCCACCACTACCTATCCAACACCATCACACCCTCAGACCACACTTCCCACTCACGTTCCATCTTTCTCCACCTCCTTGGTGACTCCAAGTACTCACATAGTCATCACCCCTACCCACGCACAGATGGCCACTTCTGCCTCCATCCACTCAATGCAAACAGGCACCATTCCTCCACCGACCACGATCAAGGCCACAGGGTCCACCCACACAGCCCCACCAATGACACCGACCACCAGTGGGACCAGCCAATCCCTAAGCTCATTTAGCACGGCCAAAACTTCTACATCCCTACCTTACCACACTTCCTCCACACACCATCCTGAAGTCACCCCAACTTCTACCACCAACATCACCCCCAAACACACCAGTACAGGCACCAGAACCCCTGTGGCCCACACCACCTCGGCCACCAGCAGCAGACTACCCACACCCTTCACCACACATTCCCCACCTACAGGGAGCAGTCCCATCTCTTCCACAGGTCCTATGACTGCACCATCCTTTCAGACCACCACTACCTATCCAACCCCATCACACCCTCAGACCACACTTCCCACTCACGTTCCACCTTTCTCCACCTCCTTGGTGACTCCAAGTACTCACACAGTCATCACCCCTACCCATGCACAGATGGCCACTTCTGCCTCCATCCACTCAATGCCAACAGGCACGATTCCTCCACCGACAACGCTCAAGGCCACAGGGTCCACCCACACAGCGCCAACAATGACGCCGACCACCAGTGGGACCAGCCAAGCCCTGAGCTCATTAAACACAGCCAAAACCTCTACATCCCTACATTCACACACTTCCTCCACACACCATGCTGAAGCCACCTCAACTTCTACCACCAACATCACCCCCAACCCCACCAGTACAGGAACCCCACCAATGACAGTGACCACCAGTGGGACCAGCCAATCCCGAAGCTCATTTAGCACGGCCAAAACCTCTACATCCCTACATTCACACACTTCCTCCACACACCATCCTGAAGTCACCTCAACTTCTACCACCAGCATCACCCCCAACCACACCAGTACAGGCACCAGAACCCCTGTGGCCCACACCACGTCGGCCACCAGCAGCAGGCTACCCACACCCTTCACCACACACTCCCCACCTACAGGGACCACTCCCATCTCTTCCACAGGTCCTGTCACTGCAACATCCTTCCAGACCACCACTACCTATCCAACCCCATCACACCCTCACACCACACTTCCCACTCACGTTCCATCTTTCTCCACCTCCTTGGTGACTCCAAGTACTCACACGGTCATCATCCCTACCCACACACAGATGGCCACTTCTGCCTCCATCCACTCAATGCCAACAGGCACCATTCCTCCACCGACCACGATCAAGGCCACAGGGTCCACCCACACAGCCCCACCAATGACACCGACCACCAGTGGGACCAGCCAATCCCCAAGCTCATTTAGCACGGCCAAAACTTCTACATCCCTACCTTACCACACTTCCTCAACACACCATCCTGAAGTCACCCCAACTTCTACCACCAACATCACCCCCAAACACACCAGTACAGGCACCAGAACCCCTGTGGCCCACACCACCTCGGCCAGCAGCAGCAGGCTACCCACACCCTTCACCACACACTCCCCACCTACAGGGAGCAGTCCCTTCTCTTCCACAGGTCCTATGACTGCAACATCCTTCCAGACCACCACTACCTATCCAACCCCATCACACCCTCAGACCACACTTCCCACTCACGTTCCACCTTTCTCCACCTCCTTGGTGACTCCAAGTACTCACACAGTCATCATCACTACCCACACACAGATGGCCACTTCTGCCTCCATCCACTCAACGCCAACAGGCACCGTTCCTCCACCAACAACGCTCAAGGCCACAGGGTCCACCCACACAGCCCCACCAATGACAGTGACCACCAGTGGGACCAGCCAAACCCACAGCTCATTCAGCACAGCTACAGCCTCTTCTTCCTTCATATCCTCCTCGTCTTGGCTGCCTCAGAACTCTAGCTCAAGGCCACCGTCATCACCTATCACCACACAACTCCCCCACTTGAGTTCTGCAACCACTCCTGTTTCCACAACTAATCAGCTGTCCTCCTCATTTTCTCCCAGTCCTTCTGCCCCCTCTACTGTTTCTTCTTATGTGCCCTCCTCCCACTCCTCTCCCCAGACTTCATCGCCTTCTGTTGGCACATCTTCCTCTTTCGTGTCCGCCCCCGTGCACTCCACAACCCTGAGCTCGGGGTCACACTCCTCATTGTCCACTCATCCCACGACTGCATCAGTGTCTGCATCTCCTCTTTTTCCTTCTTCTCCAGCTGCCTCTACTACCATTAGGGCCACTCTCCCCCACACTATCTCCTCTCCTTTCACCCTCTCTGCTCTACTCCCCATATCCACTGTTACCGTGTCTCCCACCCCATCCAGCCACCTAGCCTCCAGCACCATTGCATTTCCGTCCACGCCCAGGACCACGGCCAGCACCCACACCGCCCCTGCCTTCTCCTCTCAGTCCACCACCTCGCGGTCCACTTCTCTCACCACCCGAGTTCCCACATCAGGCTTTGTGTCACTCACCTCGGGGGTGACGGGTATCCCCACCTCTCCAGTCACCAACCTTACCACCAGGCACCCTGGTCCCACCTTGTCGCCTACCACACGGTTCCTGACCAGCTCCCTCACTGCCCATGGAAGCACCCCTGCTTCTGCCCCGGTATCTTCTCTCGGGACACCTACGCCCACCTCACCCGGTAAGTGGCATCTCTGTGGCCCTTCTCCTGGCCTCACCTCTGTGCTCATGACTCCCAGGCAGCCCCTGCCTCAGCTTACCCCTCATGGTCCTGTGATCCCAGGACCACACGCCTGTTCCCTGCCTTCCCTACACACCTGCCAGGCGTTTCCACTCTCCTCTCCTGGGCACCCTCTATGCCAACGCTGTCCTGGCCAAGCAAGTGCCTGGCCTCCCCGTTGGGCCTTGTTCCCCAGCTAACCTTGACCTTTCCCTGCACTGGCTCACTCATGCCCGGTCACTGCTGCACTCCTGGCCTCCCCTCAGAGTGTTACCTGCCAAAAGCCTTCCCTGGCTGCCCCTTTGGTTGCTCAGAGGATGTCAGGGCTGGCCCAACCCCAGGGTTCAAGCAGCACAGCCCTTCCTCCAAGTGCAGAGAGAGACACAAAAGTCTGGCACATCCCCTGCCTCGCCCCAAAGGACCTGTTGAAGGTGGAGCTGGACCTGGCAACCAGGGCACCTGCTCCTTCGTGCTCATGCCAATTCTCTGGGCCACGGCTCTTCCCGGCCCATGCCTGTGAGCGAGTCCACTGCTCCCCAGGCCATGGGATGCCTGGGGACAGAGCACACCTCAGGCCTTATCCATGTCCACCTCACCTCACCTCGCGTTCCAGGGATGTCCCTCCCTTCCCTCCTGGGTGTTCCTCTCACAGCAACCACCCAGGGACTGGGTCCCTCGCATGCATCGACCTCCACCAGGCGACAACGCCACAGTTGCCTTCGTGGTCTCTCACGTGGGTGGCAGCTCGTTGCTGCAAGCTGAGGGAATCTTGGTTCGGGTCCCTCCCTGAGACCGGGACTTGGGTGCAAGGTGTAACCAGGGAGGTGACCCCAAGAAGCAGAGGCGAGGGAGCAGGAACCAGCTGGGAGGGGAGGGCAGCTGGGGACGGCAGGGCCTATGGAAGCACCCAGAGTCCTGACCCTCCCGGAGAAAGCCCTCTGCAGCGGGCAGGTAGGCTCCAGGTGACCTGTCTTCTCTGCAGCCAGGAAACGAAGCTGGGAGCAGCCAGGGGAGGGCACACGGGCAGCAGAGTCCAGCCTTTACCCCAGGACTCCTTTTCCACTTTTAAACCCACGCTCTCCAGTGGCGGTTTCTAATGCCAACGCTGCCACTGCCTGCATCGGTCCACCCTGCTCTGTGCTGCCTGCCACGTACCCAGGCCTCTCGCTGAGGCTGGCTGTCTCTGGGCCTTCCCCGCGGGCCCCCACCCCGCCCCTTCCAGGAGCCCAGACCACGGGGCCTGCTCCACTTCCCTCCTCCCCAGCTGGGGCACACGGAGCTCCTGCAACACCATATGTCCCGCTCTGGGGTCACTGGCACGGTGTCCTCGGCCCCCCTGCAGGTCCTGGGTCTGGCCAACCAGAGAGGCCCATGCCCACAGGTCAGTGTTGAGGCCTGGGGTTGGTCATCAGGGAAGCTGGGGCCCAAGGGTGGCTCACACAGGCCCAGGGCTCAGTATCTGCTGAGTCCGCTGAGAAAATTCTCTACCTTATGGACTCCAGCAGAGCGACTTTGAGGGGAAAAAACAAACTAGGATGCGGCTGGCCTTTGCCTTTGTGTATGGCTGAGGTCTGAGCTCTGTGGGGCTCCACAAGGGGAGACCACACCTTGGGCAGGAGAGTCCAGAGACAGGTGGGGACCCCGGTCTCTAGCCAGGGTTTCCCTCCCTCCTCGCTCCATGCCCACCCTGGGCGCTGCTGACCGTCCACTCGGCTACCAGGGGTCTGCAGTGTGCGGGAGCAGCAGGAGGAGATCACGTTCAAGGGGTGCATGGCGAACGTGACGGTAACCCGCTGTGAGGGCGCCTGCATTTCCGCTGCCAGGTGAGTCCACAGGTGGGAGGCCTGCCCCACGTCCACCAAGGTGCTCACAACCCCACCCCAGAGAGGTTCGGGCACCCCACCCAGGCGCCTGCTGCCCCATCAGGTGAGCCACTCTGCGCTCCATCTGCCCAACACCGCCCTGGCCCCTGTGAGCCGGGAGCTCAGCGGGGAGGTCCAGGCCTCTGCGGAGCAGCTGCCCTGGGGAGGGAGGGGCCTTATGCCCCTGCAGCAGTCATGACCCTGCTCTGTCTTGACTTCTCGGCAGCTTCAACATCATCACCCAGCAGGTGGATGCCCGCTGCAGCTGCTGCCGCCCCCTCCACTCCTATGAGCAGCAGCTGGAGCTGCCCTGCCCCGATCCCAGCACGCCTGGCCGGCGGCTCGTACTCACCCTGCAGGTGTTCAGCCACTGCGTGTGCAGCTCTGTGGCCTGTGGAGACTAGCAGGGTCGCTGCCTGCTCTCCTGGGGCTGAAGGACTGCAGATGACAGACAGGAAAACACCCACCAGCCCCCTTCCCGCTTGTGCCAGCAGCTGCTTTCCTGGTCACCAGGCCTGGCCCCCAAGTGCCCTGGGCCGTGGCTCCCTGGGGCACCGGTTGGAGAGGGGCTGCCAAGCAGGGGCTCAGACTACCACACTCCTGCAGACCCTGAGCCAGCAGAGAGGGACTGAGGCGGACAGTGGTCACGGACCTCCCAGGCACACAGGGCACTCCCGACCACCCCTGCCCACCGTCCAACACCTCCCAGCCCCTGAACTTGGCCCCAGCCCTGCTGGGCCCAGAACCCTGCAGATGAAGCCACAGAGCAGGCGCTCGACCAGACCCATCAGGGGCGAGGAGGGCACGGAAACCTGTGCCGAGATGGGGGCAAGAGGCCCAGGCAGCCACCAGCACAGAGAAGAGGAGATCCCCAGAGTCAGGGAGGGCAGAGGGTGGCAGCGAGGGCAGGGCAGCCGCCCCCGCTCCCAGCCAGGCAGAAGGCCCCCACCAGCACCACACCCATCCCCAGCAGCCTGTCCTTGGGAGAGGGCGTCACCCGGTCAGAGACTCCAAATAAACCGGTTCTTGTCAAGGCACAGAGGCTGGTCCCTGAGCACTGCTTTTGCCTCTCCCCAGTCCCTTAGTAGGCACCCGACCCACATCTGCACCCTGTGGGCCCCTGGGATCTGCAGTTGGGCAGGGCTGCCCCCAGCAGGGTCTGGGCTGGTAAGAGAAGCTGCCTCTGGCTTTGGGCCCCTGCCCTCCCTCCATTAGGACTGTTCCGTCTCTGGCGAAGCCCACCGTCCTCCGGGGGCCACCCCCATCTGCCCGAGAGCCCCTTCTGCACCATCTGTGGTAGGATCAACTGGAGGATCCCCACGGGGCCTCCCGTTCCCCAGGAAGGAGCCCTGGGCTGCACCTCAACACACTGTACAGTGGGGAGCCCTGCGGCCAGGCTGGAGGGGTTCCCGCATGACCTGAGTCCCAAAAAGCTCCACCACACACCCAGAATCAAACCGGCGGAGCAAAGGGCAGGTCACTTTCTGATGCCCGCTGCCCGTGAGCCCACTGCTGAAGGACAGGTCGGGGACCTTGGGGTCTGTGCCTCACGCGACCCCCGGGGAGCTATGAGGGTTACATGGGATGCTTTCCCCCCAAAGAAAGCGCGTGATCCGGGGTGCAGTTCTAGCCTTTATTTTTCTTTGACGAGGAGTGCCACACTGAGGGCCCCTCTGCAGCGCCGCACAGGGAAGCGGTGCCTCGGGGAGCAGCCTTTCCTCTGATGGCGGGAGGGGTCAAGGGATGCAGGAGATCCACGGCAGCACACGCAGCCTGCAGGCGCAGCACACAGGCAGAGCACTGCCCAGCAGCTGGAACATGAGAATGAGGGCCACACCACCCAGCTGCAGCACAAGCCCAGCACGGCGTGTCACGGCACCTGGCACCACCAGACCCAGAATGGCCTGTGCGAGAGGCGCACGCCACTGACGTGGCTATGCTGTGATCAAAGCCCGACACGCCGGAAGAAGAGCCGCAGACATTGTGGGGTGCACACACTGCAGGGGAGCTGTGGAGACCCTGATGGGTCCATGAGCCCCTGCAGCTGCCCCAGGGACCCGCACAGCAGGCAACTGAGGGCCAGGGTGAAAACCCTCAAGCACATGTGGCCACCCACCCTCCCTGCCTCCACAGCATGTCAGGAAGCCAGAACCTGTGCTGGGTGTGTTTAGGACAAACAAGGCCACCATCCTGGGGACAGAGCGCAAGGCCCCAGCCTTGGCTCCTAGGCCGGCCCCACTCTCTCGCCTCTCAGGTGTCAGACGTGCAGCCTGGGTGCTGAGTCCAGATGACAGGTGAGACACAAGCCGCAGGTGGCACATGGCATGCGGCCAATGGCCCCTTCACTTCCTGACCACACAGAGGCGTCCCTCCTCCACAGCCCCTCCAGGGACGACTGGACGGGGCCGGTGGAAGGACTCAGGCCTGCACCGTGGCCTGGGGACGCCCACTCTGACAGGAAAGAGACGAGCACACCTCTGAGTCTTGCGCCACCGGCCCACACTTTACCCTGGAGTCCTGGGGGCCCTGCGGGGCCGGCAGGACGCTCCTCCCCTGGCTGCACATCCAAGGCCTCGGCGACTGCAGGAGCATAACAGACGCCCTTCACAAACAGGAGCTGGGAAAGGAGAACAGTTACATCCGGCCAGGACACGTGCTTTTGCCAGAAGTCATTACAAATACAAATGTTTCTAAATTCTAGATTAAAATCCTGCCTGGGAAAACAGTCCAGCTGGGACTGCAGCAAAACCAGGGTCAGCTGTGCTCCTCCCAAGGGCCCAGGACGACGCCAGGTGTGCAGCCACCAGGACGGCCACACACCAAGGCTCAGCCCACGCCATGCACAGTGGCACTGCTGCTCCCAGAGGCTCCGAGGCGGGGTGGGCGGCAGCACGGGCCATCTCAGTGACACTCCCACAAACGCCACGTTCACGCCAACTTCTAATTTCCCTTTAATTTGTAGATTTAACCACAGAACTGTCTCGATTTTTATAAAAATTGATCCCAAGATCCACCTTCTGCCGTGGCTGCCACAGTCCAGGCTGAGCTTTTCCTCCTGAGCCACACACGTGTGTTCCCGTCCAGCCCAAAGGGGAGAGGTGTGGGGCGGCGGGGCGGGGAGGCGCCTTGTGCTGTGGCACTGGATACGGTGCTCATCTGCAGGATGGCCACGAAGACAAACGGCACAGACGAAGACAACACAAGACACACGAGCCTGGTCTTCCATCCTCAGGACTAAAACTGCGCTGAGAGCAATTCACATAATCTCTGAGAAACGGCTTCCTTACTTGTGCGCAGCGTGAGCCGGTACATCTGAAACAGAGAGCACAGCAGGTCAACGGGCACGCCGAGGCTCACACAGCCCTCGGGTCCAGGATCCGCCATGCAGAACCCTGTGGGCCATGCCCAGGGACCACTCTCTGGAGGCACCCACAACTCGGCAGAGGCCTGAGCACCACACACACTGTCAGCATGAAAACTGAGGGCTGGCATGGGAGCGCCTGGCGTCTCGTACGTAGCTGGCGGGAGTGCAAAGTGGCACGGCCACCTGGAGAAGCTGTGGGATGTTCTTGCAGCACTAACCACACACAGGCCCTGGGCGACAGCAGCACTCCTGGGTGCCACCCAAGTGAAACGGAGACAGGTGTCCGTCGCCAGAACGGGACGTGGTGAGAAGGAACAACGCGGTGACAGAGAGGAACAGCTGGGAGAGCCACCGCCCAGGGCCAGGCTGCTCCATGGTGGGACGATGCTCCACGGTGGCCAGCTGTGGGGAGGCTGGGATGCAACCATGTATTGACAGGGTGGTGGTTAAACAGGCACACAACATCTGTCACAACTGACTGAACTGCACTAGGGATGATGCTCCACGGTGGCCAGCTGCGGGGAGGCTGGGAGGCAACCATGTATTGACAGGGTGGTGGTTAAACAACATCTGTCAAAACTGACTGAACTGCACTAAAGAGCTACACATCTCACCACGTACATTGTGCCAGAATAAAAAGCAACTCAAGTGTGTTCCACCATTTCCTGAGGGCCTGACCTGGGCTTGCAGGTTCGGCTCCAAGCGCAGCAGGCATCCAATCTGGGTGGTTTTCGTGTGGATGATTCCAGCTCCCACGAAATTCGCAGGATTAGGATCAACTTCTTCAAGAAGTGCAGAACCAAATCCAATGATCTGTCCAAAGAAACAGGAGAATGAGGACCCTGGCGCGGGGTCGCGGGCAGCGTGTCCCCCGGGGCCGCCCCTCCAGACCCTGGCGCTGGGTCGTGGGCTGCGTGTCCCCCGGGGCCGCCCCTCCAGACCCTGGCGCTGGGTCGCGGGCTGCGTGTCCCCCGGGGCCGCCCCTCCAGACCCTGGCGCGGGGTCGCGGGCAGCGTGTCCCCCGGGGCCGCCCCTCCAGACCCTGGCGCTGGGTCGCGGGCTGCGTGTCCCCCGGGGCCGCCCCTCCAGACCCTGGCGCGGGGTCGCGGGCAGCGTGTCCCCCGGGGCCGCCCCTCCAGACCCTGGCGCTGGGTCGCGGGCTGCGTGTCCCCCGGGGCCGTCCCTCCAGACCCTGGCGCGGGGTCACGGGCTGCGTGTCCCCCGGGGCCGTCCCTCCAGACGTGTTACCTTGGCTTTGGTGACTTCTGTGTCCATTGGGTGCTTTGCTTTGAAGATGTTCTGCACTTCCTGCTGTGGACTGTGAGAAACAGCAAAGGCGAGTGTTCTCAGCCAGGCCAGAGACCAAAACCCACCTTTTCAAATGAGCCCCGTCCCCACCCCTGACCCCTACAGGAAACAGGTTTCTCACTTGCTCAACTGCTTCCAACGTTGAAAGAAATCCTGAGAAGCCATTTCTGTCGGCTGGAAGAATTTGTTGAGAGTGATGGGCAGCTGCACAGACACGTTCTGGAAGGTGCCCCCATACCTGCCAGCAGCAGCAGCAGCAGAAAGAGACAGTCAGCTACTCCTCTGAGAGCCCCAGGGACCGGGAAAGAGCCTGGAGTGAGAAGCGTCCCGATCTACTGCCACCCACCAGAGCGGGTCGGGGGGCCGAGCCTTCAGTCCCCACGGATCGTGTGTGGCTCAGTGTCCAGTGTCACCCACAGACAGGAGGACAGGCCAGGGCCGCATACTCAGGCAGGACGTCCCTGTGCCTCACTTCTCCCCATTCATCTGTTTCCCAGAACTCCAAGTCTGTGCAAATAGTGTGATGTTTTTTCTTTAAAAAGGCAAAGGCATTTGCACAAAGAATGAAACAAAAACTTGCATGTCTATGTCCCCGAATTCTACAGTATACAATCTTAAGTTCTCTGTCTTTTTAATGTTAGAAAGTGTGCTTTTCTCAACATTCCTAACCTTGCAGACACCCAGCAGGGGACGGGCTGACTGTATCCACGCTATTTGTAGTCACTGAAAAGTGAGAGTAATGAACAGTCGCAACAGGAAAATCCTATGCTTTTAAAAAATAAGCAAAGTGGTACGATCTGAGCTCAACTGAGCAAAAAACGCGCCCCCCAGGCCAGGGGGCCGAAGGAAACCAGCTGCCTGCACCCCACAGCTGTCGTCTGGTACCAAGCCGGGCAGGTGGCGCGGGGGCCCTGGCTGTCTGCCACCCCATGAGGTGGGCCCCATGGTGCCCAGAAAGATCCTAGCAAGGCCCCATGTGGGAGCTGCCACCTGCCGTCCCGGAGCCCAGGGCTCCGCCTCCCCTTGTTTCCTGCGCTCTGCAGAGCCGGGGGCAGCAATAGCTCAGGCCGCATCCATGCACCGTGAGCACCCGCACGCCCCGGGTCCCCTCAGGAAGGACACGGAGGCACAGTCATGGAGCCCAGGCACACAGCTCAGGCGCCCACACACCCCTTGGCCCGGGGCGCACAGGCGGCTCTTACCTGAACTGAATGTTGAGGACTGGCGCCTCCGTGAAGTCGGACACGCACTCTATGTTGACCACCTGCTGCACCTGCGCGCCCCCCTCCACGGTCGGGTCCACGGGCTTGGTCTGCAGGTTCAGGTGTGCGTGCGTTAAGGAATCCAGCTGAGCAAGTCCCAGTGGCAGAAGCGGAAACGGGCCGGGCTAGAGCCCCAGCAGGACCCGTGGAGGCGAGCACACTCACCACACTCTAGGACCACCAGCTACGGGTCGAGGGCAGCCACACCACCCGGCCCTGCCCTTCCACCCAGACAATCCTCAAAACACTGTCTGCTTCTCACGCTTCCAGAATGGCTCCTCCATTTTAAAAAGTCACTTAGATTATATACTACTTGTCTGTTTTCACTCTGAGCCTCGGCTCTGGGTCTTACACACACAATTTTTGTCACCGTTAGCAGAAACTGGTGCTTAGTAGGGCAGGAAAACTTTAAGAATCCCAGGAATAGCAGGCTCCTGAAACAGCGAGACACAGAAAAGAGCCTGCCCTGCTGGGACCAGGGTTGTTTTCATGCTGGAAAACAAGGGTTTGCCTACAGCCTCTCCTGAAGAAACAGTGACAGCAGCAAAGCTGGGTCCAGGAGGCAGCGGGGTGCAGGCCTCTCCTTCCCTCTGGGTCGTGTGCCGCCGGCCACTCAGCTGCTGGGCTCGCTGCCGCCTCGAGCCAAGTGGACCCCGAGGGAGAGACCCCTAAAGAAGGGCGCAGTAGGAGTCAGAGCTTCCACTCCAGATTCCAAACAAAGTCTTTAATACAGGTGCTCCTGCATGTGTATTTTTAATGACTGTTTTGAAACAGCTTGAACAGTCTGCATTAAAACATGTTCATGTTAAAATGAACAGACCAGCCAGTGGCAAGGAGGATGTTGCTTCACTCAGGTCGCTGACCATAAATCCCCAGGTGTCACCATCTCTGGTCAAGCTGGGGTCTTCACGCTAACTCTATTTGGCGGGCCTATCCTTAGAGGTAGAGACGTTAGCGTCTCCCTGTTTTAGCTGGGGAAGTTCTAGGAACGCTTCTGGCATTACGAAGGGAAAATCTTCAGTCTAAAAGCTCTGCCAGAAGCACACACAAGCTCGGCTGGGGTGCGCACCGCGCTCCAGTCCCCACTGGCGCCTCCCACACTCTGCAAGCAGCAGCTCTGTGAGGCTTCGGAGAGGAGGGGTTTAAAGATCACGTCACAGGAGAGTAAGAGCAGGTGAAAAGGAAAGGGACTCACACTGGCCAGATGGAAGGGGAGGAGGCATGTACACGGTATTTTTAGGTGCATGATCAAAAGCTGGCTCTCCAATATGGAAGACTGCCTGTTTTCCTTCTCCTGCCCAGCACCATAGGCAGATTACGACTGCCTGATTTTCATATAGCATCTGGAATTATCTCGCTATTTTAACAAAATAAGAAAACCAAAAAACTTCCTCAAAAGCCTCCTCTAAGCCCCACATTATGCTGTCTGCGGGCATGGGGCAATGAAGCCAAGGATATTAGGCTGAAGGTCGTCTGAACAGATTAGTGTTGGGGTAAAGTTTAGGAACTGCGTGGAGGTCTTATTACCATAAAAGATAAACATCCGACCTAGAAGGAACAAAAACAATTTTTTCACACACACCATTTCACACTTACCCTGAATATTTACCCTGAAAAACAAGAGCCCCCCACAATCTTCAGCTGAATTTAAGTTCACTGTTGTGATGTATGACTGTTGTTAAAATTAAGAACAAATTTTTTCCAGTTTTAGAACGAGCACACCAGTGCTGGTAACACGGGCCGGGTATCTCCTCCAGTCAGAGGTAACTTCCGCCCTCCAGCACCCTCCTCCCTCGGCCCCTCCTGCGCACCCACACGGGATGGGTGAGATCACACGCATATGCACGGGGAAGGACCCACAGAACGCCCCGTCTGCAGGCTGGGCTACAGCTGGAGGGGCCTGCCAAGCATCTTTTCCAGGGACGCCACAATCACACAGGCCTCTGCCGGCCCCGCCCCATGACTGCAACATGCAAACACACGCACCGGCCCCGGCTGCCTCCTGTCAGGGGACCCGGCTGGGCACGCGTCCAGCACAGCATCGGTGTTGCACACTAGCCCTCACTGCAGCGGCTCAGCCACGGCACAGGTGCACATTTAGGATGTGTCGCTGTTTTTATTTATATCACAGTAAAAAATCTTTGTGAACATCTGTATACCCCTTGAATTCAGAAAGGAAATCTCAAATATTTTGAAAACAGTAAACAGTTTGGCATCACTCCTCCCACAATTTAAAAACCCAAAACCAACACCTCGTGAAGCTATCACGGCCCAGAGCTTAAAAACTTAAACCAGGACTAAAGGCACCACCTGTTTTCAATGCAGCGTTTCCCACAGGAATCACTCTGACAACCCTCACTTTTCTAACAGACCCCTGGCGGGCAGAGGACTAATTCTCTTTTTTCACATTCTTTCTGTGTTTTTCACAGATGAGAGAGAGAGCAGTCCTGAGGAGGCTCAAGGCAGGCGCTGAGAGGAGGCAGGTCCGCAGCCAGGGCCCCTGCAGCCACAGGGTTCCGTGCACAGCATTTTTTTACACTCAAAGGCTTTTTTATGTCTTTCTCCTAAATTGTGGTAAAATACACTAACATTCACCTTCCTAGCCATATTTAGGTGCACACAAGGGCACAGGAAGTGCATCCACACTGTGCAGCTGCTGCCACCACCACCATCTCCAGAACGTTCTCATCTTCCCAAACGGAACTCTGTCCCCATTAAACACCAATTCCCCATCCCCCTGGCCTAGGCCCTGGCATCCCCCAGCTACGTTCTGTCTCTACGAAGTCACTGCTCTAGGGACCGCATGAGTGGAGCCACACAGGATTTGTCCAGGTGTCTGGCCCGTGTCACTGAGCACCATGTCCTCAAGGTGCATGTGTGCTGCTTTATGCATCAGAATTTCATTCCTTTCTGCCGTTTGATGGCTGAATAATATTCCACTGCGTCGACAGACCACATTTCGTTTAATTAGGCATCCACCCATGAACATCTGGGCTGTTTCTAACTTTCGGTGATTGTGAATAGTGCTGCCATTGGACATGGGTGGACAGGTACCTCTTTAAGACCCAGCTTTCAATTCTCTGGGGTCTGTACCCAGACGTGGAACTGCTGGGTCACAGAGTAATTCCATCTTCTTTTGTGTTTTGAGGAACTTCCCACAGTGCCCGCACTACTGTACATTCCCACCAGCGGCGTACAAGGCTCCAACGTCACCACGCCCTGCAGACACTCTTTTTCCTTTTTGGTTATTTATGCATACATAAATAATGATGTATGCATTATTTATGAATGAATGAATGAACGACAGGGTCTCGCTCTGTTGCCCAGGCTGCAGTGCAGTGGCAAGATCTCAGCTCACTGCAGCCTCAAACACCTGGGCTCAAGCGATCCTCCCACCTTTGCCTCCCAAGTAGCTGGGACCACAGGTGTGCACCAGCACGTCTACCTAATTTTTGTATTTTTTGTAGAGATGGGGTCTCACAATGTTGTGCAGGCTGGTCTCAAACACCTGGGCTCAAGTGACCCTCCCACCTCGGCCTCCCAAAGTGCTGGAATTATAGGCCTAAGTCACCAGGCCACCAGGCCAGTCTGTTTATTTATTTATTTACAGAGTCTCACTCTGTTGCCCAGGCTGTAGTGCAGTGGCATGATCTTGGCTCACTGCAACCTCCGCCTCCCAGGTTCAAGTGATTCTCCTGCCTCAGCCTCCCAAGTAGCTGGGACCACAGGCACACACCACTACACCCAGCTAATTTTTGTATTTTTATTAGAGACAGGGTTTCACCATGTTAGCCAGGCCAGTCTCGAACTCCTGGCCTCAAGTGATCTGCCTGCCTCGGCCTCCCAACATGCTGGGGTTACAAGCGTGAGCCACTGCACAGGCTGCTTGTTTGTTTTCTAACAGCCATCCTGGAGGGGTGAGGTGGTAGCTCACTGTGGTTTTGATTGGCACTTCCCTCGTGACTTTGTCCATCTTTTCAGGTGCTTATTGAGCATTCCTGTATTTTCCCTGGAGAATGTCGTCTTTTCAACAACTTTGCACCCACCCCCACCTCCCCGCCACCCCCTCTGGTTGTAGAGATGGGGTCTTGATGTGTTTGCCCAGGCTGTTCTTTTGCCCATTTTTTAATTGGGCTGCTTTCTTACTGAGTTATGGGAGTTCTTTTTATATTCTGGATATCTATCCCTTATAAGTATATGATTTGCAAATATTTTCTCTTAATTTCCCATATTTCTAAGAGACAGTTTCATTAAGTAATTAAAACACATACCTAAATTCTGCCGAAATTCAGACTTAAGTCCAATT
The DNA here is from genome assembly GCF_000001405.40 of Homo sapiens. Lineage (NCBI taxonomy): Eukaryota > Metazoa > Chordata > Mammalia > Primates > Hominidae > Homo > Homo sapiens. Next base: position 73,210 of record NT_187681.1, on the reverse strand, counting down.
TGAAGCAGCTGGTTTTCAAACAACACACCATTGTTTTTACAAACAAACCTAGGGGAAAAGGGACAGTATATGTGTCACTCAAAGCCACCTGCAGAAAACACAAGGGTTTGTTCTGGAAAAAAACTCACAGCACGAGGAGGCCAGAAAAACCTCTATGGCACACAAGGGAAGAAAAAAGTGGAAACTATTCCAAGGACTATCCTGACAAACAGCCACTGGAGGAGGACGGTGAGCAGGACGCAGGGACGCGGACACAGCCCCGGCAAGACCTGTGAAGTTGGTTGGTGCAGCTGCTTTTCAGGAACATGCTGGTCCACATGTAACGGCCTCTCACGGCCCCAGAAGGGACACGGGCGTGAGGCACGCACACAGCTTCTGGCCCCACCACAGACTCCATCCAACACGGGTGCTGAGCTTCCACCCAGCGAGGGCCTCGCCATCAGAGCCTGGCTGCTCCCCGCTGATGCACACGCATGCACGGGCACCCAGCCATCCACCCACCAGCAGCACAGCCCTGCAGGGCCCTGGGCGCCCCCATCTCCCCTCTGGCCTCTCCTCTCGCCCCATGCGTGGTTAGTGTCTACACCGCACAGGGAGCCCAGGGTTTTGCTCACCACAGGGCACCTATCTACACTACACAGAATTAGGGGAAAATAAAATAGCGTTGGTTAGCTTTCATTTGTGTTTCTCTCAGAAGAGCTTCAAGTTTTCTGACCTCCTCTAGGAAACTGTAACTCCACAGTGACCTAGATCCAAAAGAGAGGAGAGGGAGGCGGGGCAGTGGCACAGGGCTCCTGGGTGAACCCAGCACAGAGATGGATGTGGCACTGATTCAAACCACAGGGTGGGGAGGCAGGAGGTCATGGCACCGCCCCCTCCCTCCAACCCACCCCAGTGCCTAAGAAGCAAATGCTGCACGGCAGCAGCCTAATTCTGAAATCTCCACCTCCACCTGTGCTGACATGGCGGCGATCAAGGTCAGCCACTCCTGCAGCCAGTCTCCACTAACTGCACCACAGCTGCCACCCTGGAAGGTCTGAGTGCTGCCAACCTTCTCATCGGCATCCTGCTGTATGGAGACCAGGCCAGGAAGACAGAGGAAGCAGCAACAGACGGCAAGGGGCAGTGACAGGCGGCCCTTGGCTCGCTCTTGGGGCCAGGAGGGCGCTGCTCGCCACGCAATGCCCCACTCCAGCCTGCCACGGCCACGAGAGCCGCTGAGGCAGCAGTCCCTGCGCACACCTCTGGAGGCCACAGCCGCCCCCTGCACAGCCCGGCAGGCTGCTGGTCCGGCTGCAGCCACATGCGAAGCTTCAAAAAGTCAAGTGTGGTCTAAGCAACACACAACACAGGACAGCGATCCACAACACAGCCTGGAACATGTCTACTGGGCTTCACCTGGGACTGCTCACAGCAGGCGGCTAACAAAGCAGAGATCGCTTAACAGGAGGAGCCGGCCGAGGCGGAGGTCCACGTGCTCACCGCACCCCCGGGTCGCTGCTCCGCCCACAGCCAGCGGGCACTCCACGCGAGGGGCCACGGAGTTTACACTCAGGGTGTGGACTAAGCCACTTTAAAGTAAAATCTGTCAAGAACACGGGAGGGGCTCTGACGGACCACCCATGACGTGACAGAGAGGCCCTTGTGGTCAGTATCTCTGCTTGGTTCATCCCAACTACAACCTGGCCTGGAGGAATCTTTGGGGAAAATGCAAACCACTCTGCAAGGCCATGAGAATGCAGCCGCCCTGTCCTGTGAGCCGTGTGCCAGCAGCCACCACAGCCGGCTCGCCCTGAGGCACTCTGTGCCTCCATCCTACACCAAACACACGCAGACACCTGATGACCCTCTGTAGCCAGATCAAAGCCAAGACGGCCGCATGCACAAGAGCCCCGAGGCCTGGCCAGCTGCAGACAGCGCCACCCAATGTGAGGCGTGCACAAGGGCCATGTGCAGCTCCCAGCACAGCCGTATGGAGACAGGGCAGGCAGCGCCCAGCAGGGAAGGGCCACGGCTGCCACGGACTGCCCAGCCCCTGGTCCCTTCCTGCCACCAAGACACTGAGGAGCAGCCACCACCAGAGCCCTGCAACCTGGATTCTCAATCTCAAACACAGCGACTCTAAGAGCAGTAAGACTGTTTTCAGCCCAAGCGGCGACCTGCACCCACCACCACGCCGGCCTGCCTCTCCTAAGTCCTTTCCCAACACGTAACAGGAAACAGAACTCACGTGCAACATGAATACAAAGAACTGAAAAACACCAGAACTCTATTACAGTCTTCAAAATGGGGGGCCAAAAGGCCATTCCTCAAAGGCTCTCTAACCTCCATCTGGGACAGAAACCGGCACCTGCGCTCCCACCCCACAGGGCAGCAGGGGAGAGGCGTCAACTCCAGGAAAGGGGGCACCTCAGACCTCCGGCCAGACATGAAAACAAGCAGATGGCTGAGAGCAGCCAGTAAGCGGAATGCACAGCTGATGAGCCCAGCAGAGAGGGCTGGGGAGAGCACGTGCGGGGGAAAGTGGTCAGCACCGACGATCTGAAGACCACGGAGACACTGGCAGAGACCACTGCACACAGGGAGCCGGGAGGTGCCCAGGCACCGGACAGAAATTAGAGCAGGACAAGCAGCAAAGACAGGCTGCCCTCAGGGGGAACCACAGGGTGGAGGCCGAAGGCGTGAGCAGGGTGGGCCTCACAGAAGGACTTAGCAAGTGAGCAACTCAAGGACAAGAGACCGGGCCTCCAGGACAGACACAGACAAGACGGCTTAAGTCAGAATGAAAAGCAGCCCAACTAGACAGGAAAGAGGCGAAGAGAGGAGACGTGTAGCTACAAAGAGTGTTTATCAACACTCAAACAGCAGCTGAAACATGATCGGACATCACCGTGCAGACAGGACACAACCACCACCCAGACAGTGTGTTTCTTTCATGTCCTCCTTTTCCTCCTGAGAGTAATGAACACTGCAGTCCATATAAATCAAGGTTGTGAGAGGAATGACACAGCAAACCCACCCACAACACAGCAGCTCCCGCTCTCTCCCCCAGGCAGTAATCTGGGAGGTAAACTCCGCTGCCCACCTCTGTCCAGCTGGCCGCGGCCACACCAGAAGTCAGGGGGCACGGCAGCCCCGTGCCTGTCTGCAGGACTCAGGAAACCTGACTACCTGGCAAAGTTGTCTTCGGAGCCAGGAGCGAGAGGCGCGACCACAGAGGCCGAGTCTGAGAACACGTCCACGAGCAGCCCGCTGCCGCCGGAGGAGGGTGGGGGGCCCGCGGGGGCAGGGGGGGCAGCCCCGAGACCCAGCAGGTCTGCCGACGGAGAAGGCGTAGACTGGAAGAGAAGGAAGGAGAGCATCAGCAGAGAGCCTCCCTGGCCTGGCCAACCCCAGGCAGCTCACGCCTGCACGTCCTCCCCCATGGCACCCCCTTGGCATCCATGCACTCCCAGTGGCTGGGGCAGGTGGCACACAACTCAGTGAGTGACCAGAGAGTGAGGGCTAACAGCCACTTCCTGAGTATATCCCAGACTCCAGCCTAAAGATAACTGCACTTAAAACATCAGTCATAATTTCACTAAGGCACCCTACATTTTTTCACAAATGCTATTTGAATGAAAAAAATTCTCAAAAAAATTTTGCCATGAAAGACATAAAAAAAGGCCAGACGCGGTGGCTCACACCTGTCATCCCAGCACTTTGGGAGGCCGAGGTGGGCGGATCACGAGGTCAGGAGATCGAGACCACCCTGGCTAACACGGTGAAACCCCATCTCTACTAAAAAATACAAAAAAAATTAGCCGGGCGTGGTGGTGGGCGCCTGTAGTCCCAGCTACTCGGGAGGCTGAGGCAGGAGAATGGTGTGAACCCGGGAGGCGGAGCTTGCAGTGAGCCGAGATCGCACCACGGCACTCCAGCCTGGGCGACAGAGCGAGACTCCATCTCAAAAAAAAAAAAAAAAAAGAAAGAACTAAGATCATGCATGTTACTGCCAACTGTCCAATAAGAAAGTAAGCTTCCAAAGATGAAAAAGCAAATAACTTACTCGGGTGCATTATTAATCATTAAATTATTACTAAATCATTATTAATCATTAAAAGTCTACAGAACGGATACTTTTAAAAAATAATTGCTTTTTGGCTGGGCATGGTGCCCCACACCTGTAATCCCAGCACTTTGGAAGGTTGAGACAGAAAGACTGCTTGAGTCCAGGAGTTTAAAACTAGCCTGGGCAACATAGCAAGAGACTGTCTCTGTTTTTGTTTTTTTTGAGACAGTCTCACTCTATTGCCCAGGCTGGAGTGCACTGGTGTGGGCTCACTGCAACCTCCACCTCAAGCGATTCTCCTGCCTCAGCCTCCCAAGTAGCTGGGATTACAGGTGGCCGCCATCACGCCCAGTTAATTTTTGTATTTTCAGTGGAGACAGGGTTTCACCATGTTGGCCAGGTTGGTCTCGAACTCTTGACCTCAGGTGATACGTTCACCTCGGCCTCCCATGAGCCACCGCACCCGGCCCCAGTAATTGCTCTTTGATCCTGGGGCAAAGGCACAAGGAAAGAGCGCCTATGATCTCATGATTAAACTCTCACAACAGGGCACAAGCAGCAGCTCAGTCCATCGCATGCTCACCCATCCAACAGGGCAGCAGGCTCCCCAGCAATGCCCCAGCAGCCTGACTTTGGGAGCTCAGACCTGCTCTGGGCTCCACGGGTCCTGCCCCACAGCAGCCTGTGCACCAGAGGGACTCAGATGCTCCCTATAAAAAGGACACCCAGCCTGGCACGGTGGCTCACACCTGTAATCCCAGCACTTTGGGAGGCCGAGGGGGGCAGATCCCAAGGTCAGAAGATTGAGACCATCCTGGCCAACATGGTGAAACCCCGTCTCTACTAAAAATACAAAAATTAGCTGGGTGTGGTGGCACACGCCTGTAATCCCAGCTACTCAGGAGGTGGAGGCAGGAGAATTGAAACCAGGAGGCGGAGATTGCAGTGAGCCAAGATCGTACCACTGAACTACAGCCTGGCAACACTCACACTTTGACACTATACACCAGGGGCTCTTGGTGGAGAAACCCCCCACCCAGCTAAGAGCGTTCTGGAGATGTGGAGGGCTCTGACTATCACAAGGATATTGGCATTTCACAGGCAAAAAACAGAGACACAAGACACCCTAACTTGAAGATTCGTCTTGAGTAACTTTAGAATGTTCCACTGGACATCTAAGAAGGTAAAAAATTAGTTTGTAATTATCTGAGACTCCACCTGAATGCCATTTTACATTAATGCAAAGTTAAGGTGTCACACTGTACTTTCAAAAAAACTACATGTGTGGGTTTGTGATATATGAATTTTACTCAAAGATAAATGAGGCATCACAAAGTGTGTTATGCAAAAAAGGTGCAGGTCAGAATGGGGGCGGGGGGTCAGAATGGGGGCGGGTGAGAGTCAGAATGGGGATTGGGGGGCAGTCAGAAACGGGGCAGGCTCCCAGGCTCTGCTCTTGTGACGGAGCACCTCTGCAAGAGAAGACGACACGGGTCTCATGTGCTCCAAGGGTGGGAGGTCACAGAGGAGCTGGCAGAGAAGAGTCCCAAAAATATCCAAGGCGTGTCTCGATGAGACCATCTGAAGGCGGCGCTTTGCTCCCTACGCCGGGGACAGCGCCCGCCAACACTGTGGCCTCCACAGCCTGACAAAGCTGTGAGCTGCGTGGGAAGCCATCGGCCTTGGCCATGGCCATGCACCTGCAGCCCAAATGGAGACAGTTTCTCCTCTGCATCTCATCACAGATGTTACCCTGGTTCCTGCACTGATTCAAATACATCTATGGCTTTTATTTTATTTTATTTTATTTTTTTGAGACCGAGTCTCACTCTGTTACCCAGGCTGGAGTGCAGTGGTGCAATCTCAGCTCACTGCAACCTCCGCCTTCTGGGTTCAAGCAATTCTCCTGCCTCAGCTTCCCGAGCAGCTGGGATTACAGGCACACACCACCACACCTGGCTAATTTTTGTATTTTTAGAAGAGACAGGGTTTCACCATGTTGGCCAGGCTGGTCTCAAACTCCTGACCTCAAGTGATCCGCCCACCTCAGCCTCCCAAAGTGCTGGGATTACAGGTGTGAGCCACCATGCCCAGCCATCTATGGCTTTTAACTGCTTTCTAAAGTAGGAAAGCCCTTTGCCCTAGTAAAGGCATTTGTACCTGAAACGTTACCACAGATTGTAACAGCGAGGCCAGATGCAAGGCCCCAGGACAGTAGGGTCCTAACACCCACTTCAGGTTCTTCATCTTCCTTATCCTCTCAGGCCTGGGAGACCCTCCTCAGAGAGCAGGCCTGGCTCCTGGGCCACACCAGTTCACCTCCTCCCTCCAATAGCAGGACAACTTGAGGGGTGAAGGTTTTGCCTACAAGGGCCCCAGGCTCCTGCATGTGAAGCCAGGCAGCCTCTGATCCCCACACCCCTGTGCTCCCCAGCACACCCGGGGACACGCACACCACAGCCTCCCCCAAGGAGCTGTGTGCAGAAAGAGGATGCTCGGAAGAAGTAAAATGTCCTGGCCTCATCTATGATGTTAAATAAAAGACATTTTGGCCAATGTGACACCAAGATAAAGCCACTGTCTCTCGTGGGAAAGGCACATGTGCTGATGCCACCCTGAGGCCCCTTCACGGCCCATACAGAAGACCCTGAGCAAGAAAACTTCGCCAGGAGTGTCTCCCCATAGGGAGGGGCCTCTCACTGGGGCTCCCGTGAGCAATGGGAACAGATTGGAAAGCACAGGATAGCAATGACACCCACACACCATAGCTCTCGGTCAGAACAGAGGGGCCCACACACCACAGCTCTCGGTCAGGACGGAGGCGCCCACACACCACAGCTCTCAGTCAGGACGGAGGTGCCCACACACCACAGCTCTCAGCTCAGAACAGAGCTGCGTGCCTCGGCCACAGACACCTCCCTAAGGAACCCACCCGCCAGGCACCACTGACCATCAGGAGTGAAGCCACACTCAGAAAATCCACTGAATGAGCCCTGAAGGGGGAACTCCCTCCAAGAAGGCACCTTACAGAAATGCTGAACCTCACTGGACCCTCATCCTCCTTTTCAGAGGGCAGCACACTGCTCTCACTCCCAGGGTCCAGAAGCTTCCATCTGATCCCTAAGCCACACAGTCAAGGCCAGGCCCTCCAAAGTCCACCCTGAGCCTAGCCGGACAAACCTGGGTGTGATCAAAGGCCTGGGGTATGGGCACACCTCACTTCTCAGGACCCACATTAAAAAGAAACATCAAATAAGAACCAAAGAGAGACTGAAGACAATCCTACAGCCCCTTTCCATGCTCCCTCAGCGAGTTCCTCTTAACGTCAAAGCAGCTGGAGGGGAGCGAGAGCACCTGGTGCCTTCCCAGCTTCCAACAGGCAATCCCAGGTTTCCGTGGAAGACTTCACAGTGCCCTTGCTGAAAGCCGGCCTCCAGGAATCCCTGCACACCAGCCTCCCCTGGATCACGTCATCCTGCCCTCGCCTCCTCACCCAACTGGGGCCGCGTCCTCCTCTCTGCAGGGCGGAGCCGCTGCCGGCCCAGCACCCACGGGAAGGCCCCTGCTCCGGCAGCTCACAGACAAATCTCCACAAGCAAGTTTCTGCCTCCAGAAACCTATGTCAAGATGTCCAAAGGAGAGGGAGAGATGGATTAGAGGAGTGACAGAGGCCTGCTGCACTAGGCGCCTGGCTAGTGACGTCCCACGGGAGGAGACAGGGTCAAAAGCAGGTCACCAGCTCTACAGAGCACATGAGAAACATAAGCATGAAGGTGCTCAGGCGTGAAGGGAAGACGCCCACCTTGGGAGAAAGAGTCACATCTTTCATTCATTTCATTCACTCCAGGATGAGCTCACAGGCAATTCAAGCCTCCAGATGGCGGGCACAGCAGCGTGCCACAAACAACACAGAGAGAGGGCACGGGGGGACAGGGGCTGCACAGAGGACACTAGGTGGAGGGAGGGGAGAGGGAGGAAGAGGGGGAGGGAAGACTGCTCATTGAGATGTCAGGCTCAGCCTGGATACCAGCCCCATGGCAGGCCCTGCACTGTCGGCCAGAGGGGCAGGACACATGGTCAGCCGGGGCACATAAGCAGGTCCCCGCCAAGGAGTGCCAGGACTCCGACATGAGCACCCTCCCAACCAGCACACTGCCAGGGCAGGCACCACCACAGGAGCTCACCCCACAAAGCCCTGCCGATACTGGGTAGCAGCACTGGTTGCCACCACTGGACCTGCGTCCTGGAGAGACAGGTCCTCTAACTGGACAAACAGAAAGCCCGCCTGACCCCGACAGGAGCCCTCCCTGACAGTGCAGAGGGGAACAGCTGGCAAGCAGAGCCAAGCAAAAACGCAACTCTCAAAACGACACTTCTCACCTGACAAATACCACAGGACACATTCTGTTACAGGATTATTCTCATCGCATCACACATACAAGGAAAACCAGACCTAACCCAACTCACTACATAAAACCTCGAAGAGCAGGGCAGGACAGGTCCTCTCTAAATCAACAAAGCATGTGAGGACAGCTGCCTGGGTGAGGCAGTCCTGTAGGAGAGGGGACGGCCACTTCCCCTAAAACAAGGCACCACAGAGGATGTGTGAGCTGAGCTGGACAAGACGACGGTCTGAAGGAAGTGCCTTGCCCAGCAGGCACAGTGGCCCCCGGGAGAGGACAGCGGGGTGTGCAGCAGGGACAGTGGCCCCCGGGACAGGCCAGAGGGGCGTCCAGCAGGGACAGTGGCCCCCGGGACAAGCCAGCGGGGTGTGCAGCAGGGACAGTGGCCCCCAGGACAGGCCAGGGGGGCGTCCAGCAGGGACAGTGGCCCCCGGGACAGGCCAGCAGGGTGTGCAGCAGGGACAGTGGCCCCCGGGACAGGCCAGGGGGGCGTCCAGCAGGGACAGTGGCCCCCGGGACAGGCCAGCAGGGTGTGCAGCAGGGACAGTGGCCCCCGGGACAGGCCAGGGGGGCGTCCAGCAGGGACAGTGGCCCCCGGGACAGGACAACGGGGCGTCCAGCAGGGACAGTGGCCCCCGGGACAGGCCAGGGGGGCATCCAGCAGGGACAGTGGCCCCCGGGACAGGCCAGCAGGGTGTGCAGCAGGGACAGTGGCCCCCGGGACAGGACAACGGGGCGTCCAGCAGGGACAGTGGCCCCCGGGACAGGCCAGGGGGGCGTCCAGCAGGGACAGTGGCCCCCGGGACAGACAGCGGGGCGTCCAGCAGGGACAGTGGCCCCCGGGACAGGACAGCGTGGCGTCCAGCAGGGACAGTGGCCCCCAGGACAGGACAGCAGCGTGTCCAGCAGGGACAGTGGCCCCCAGGACAGGACAGCGGGGTGTCCAGAGCCACAGCCAGAGCCTGGGTTCTCAGTACATGCTCCTCCCTGACAGGCAAATGCTCTGCTGGTCCCAAGTCTTGGGGGTGAGGCCCTGACAGGTCTGGGTGCACAGTAGGTGAGGGACCCACCACGGCGCTGGTACTGGCTGGGGCAGGCTCAGGACCCCCGTTCACGTCCACACTCCTGTCCCGCTTGGTGTCCTCCAGGTCTGTCACCGTGCTGGGGCCCTTCTTCTTCTTGAGCTTTGCCAAGATGGAGGACTCCCGCTCCGGGAATGGGGGCATCTCCTCCAGCACGGTCGCCTTGGAAAGAACACAGGGTGGGACTGGTCAGAGCTCCTGGCCTCCAACCCTCAGCCAAGCCAGCCCGAAGGGCGGGGGCCTCCTACCAGAATGTCGGTGCTGGCCACGGTGCTGAGCCGCAGGTACTCCACAGCACGCTGCTGCAGCTCCACGTCTGCGTTCCTGAGCTGGCTGTCGCTGCGCAGCACGTCCTGGATGGTGGGCTTCACCTCCGGGAAGAGGTTCACGAACTTGATGTAGGTGGACAGGAGCAGCGCGCGGGTGGGGACGCTGCACAGGTGGAACTTGGAGTGCAGCAGGTGGAACTGGATCAGCGGGCTGGGGACGGGGAGGCACAACACAGGGACACCGTCGTCCCCTCGCAGGCTGCAGCACGCCCCCGCGGGGGGGGGACGGCGGCGAGACCCCCTGGCCTGCACCAGAGGCCGCTGGTCGGGACCCTCTTCCAGCTCCAGATCCCACCGCAAAGACGCCCCTTTCACTAAGTCAGCCATCAACCCCACGTCTCCATTTTCTACTAGAATCCCTGCTTTTTCTATCAACTGAAGGAAAACAAAAAGACGCCGATGGGGAGCAGAAGCGGCTCTGCGAGGCCTCACGGCAGGGCCAGCTGGTGCCTCGCCTCTTGCCACCGACCACCGAGAGGCCCGCCGGAGCGCACACAGCCCCGACTCGCAAAGGGCCTCTCACCTGGATCTCGGGTCTCCAGCTATCAAGTTTCCAAACTCCCCCAGGATGTAGCCGCCCACTTTGACCAGGTTCTCGTGGCACGCGGGAGCCTGAAGAGCCTGCGAAGCACAAACAATGAGCCGGGGTGGCAGCCAGGTGCCAGAGTTAAGGCGAGGCGGGCACGTCCTGGCGCGGTGCACCCTACACCAGCACCAGCCCCTCAGCTTCCTGGAGACCCCAGTCCAAGTGCCCATCCCTGCCTTCCTCAGCACCCTCAGTACCTGTGTCAGCAGCAAGGAACCCAAGGCTGCCACACGCTGACCTGCCCTGGAGGGAGCTGCAGCATCCACAACAGGCTCTGGCTGGGGAGGTTCTGCCAGCGTCCTCATGGCACACCCCTTGCCGGTGGCCTAACCCTCTCCGACGGACAGGGCAGGCCCCACCACGGCATGCCCCAGCATGCTCTCACACACACAGAGGCCGGCTTTCTCAGGTGGCCCCCAGAGAGCCAGAAGTTTGAGAGTTAGGGTGAGAAGAAACTGGGACTCAGCAAGGGGCACCAACAGTGGAGGAGCTAGAGCCTCAGGGAAGAGCTGAGGGGCAAGAGGGGTCAGCAACGGCCCTCGGCACCTCCACGCAGGCAGGCTGGAACCACTCACTGCTCACCTTCTGCAACTGCCCTCCACCCCATCCTTCCTGCCATCCTGCGGGCCATACCTCGAACACAGTCTTGGCCGCGTAGCCCTGCACGTCGTCCCGGTTGATGACGATCTGAATGACTCGGTACCACACCTCTTCACTCACGTAATCACCAGCAATTCGGATCAAGTTCAAGATGGTATCCACATACCAGGTGTAGTCCACCGCGTACTTCTCAGCCAGGATGGCGACCTTCAGCACCTGTGGGGGACAGGCTGCTGAGGGCCGGCACCTGCAGGCCATGGCAATCCCAAGACCAAACTGTCGTCCAAAGTCAAAGTGAGAGTTTCAGAAGCACCTCAATGTGTCTACAAAAGTTTGGGACATGGAGGAAGCTTGAACTCGATTCTCAAAAAAGCCCACGAGCCCAGAAAGTTTAAGATGCCCTGACTTAAGCAAAGAAAGCCAGGAAGAGGCGGAGACCAGTGCACAGAAGGCCACGGCCACAGCCAGGCCACCTCCCACCTGGGCCCTTCTCTCCCAAAGCCCCAGCACCTGGCGGCAGCACTCCTCTGACCTCATCACCCTAGGCTCCCGGTGGCAGCACTCCTCTGACCTCTGACTGCGCCACCCTGGGCTCCCGGCGGCCAGTGACTGCGCCACCCTGGGCTCCCGGCGGCCACTTCTCTGCTGGTTTCTTCCGGCTCTGGCCAGTCTTTCCTGCGAGCCTCACCTGGGGGTTCCCCTTCTTCCCCTCTCTGGCTCACTCTCACGGGTGCCCCCCGGAGGCACCTGCCCAGCCCACACCCACGTGGCAGCCACCCACATGGAGCTCTGCCAGGCTGTACAACACCAAACTCATCTCCCCAAAGTCACCTCGCCTGGAACCAAGCCCCCTTCGAACAGCGCCAGCTGCCAACACCAACGCCAGCAGGCATCAAGACCGCGCACCTCCCGAGGGCACCCCTAATACCCTGCCGCCCCTCCCCACACCCTGCCGCCCCCTCTCCACACCCTGCCACTGGCCTCTCAGGTGCTGGTGACTGTGCCCCCCCACCCCAAGTCCCTGCCTGGAGCCTGGACCCCCAAACCCCAACCTGACTCCGTGACACTTCCAGGGCATCATTCCAAAATGTACTGCCTCTGAGCCCTACCCGCAGCTCACGGCTGTGCACCAGGGGCCCTCAGGCCTCACTGGCAGGGTCCCCATGTCTGCTTCCACCCCTGCCTCGCGTGCCCTGCTCCCCAGCCTGTGCTAAGGTACCTCCCACCCCTCCACGAACGGATGCTCTGCCCTCCCAGTAGCCTCTGCACCATCATCCTCTCCAGACCAGGCCACTATCACCTTCTGCAGAAGTCCACACAGCCCCCCAGGAGTGTAATGCCTCCTGAGGCCCCCAGAACATGAGGCACTTCCTCCAGCCATCCCACCCACAGCACAGCAACCCACGGTCCTGCTCTCAATCCGTCCCCCTCCATGGATGGCAAGGTGCCGAGTAGGCAGGGAGTGGGCCATGTCCAGTTTGGACACTTAGCACCTAGCACAGCCAGAGAACACGCCCTGCCATGCTCGACTGAAAGGACAGAGGGAAACACCATGCCCGGCTGAAAGGATGGAGGGGAGCACCATACCCGGCTGAAAGGACAGAGGGGAGCACCATACCCGGCTGAAAGGACGGAGGGGAGCACCATACCCGGCTGAAAGGACGGGGTGGGGGGAGCATCGTGCCCGGCTGAAAGGATGGAGGGGAGCACCATGCCCGGCTAAAAGGACGGAGGGGAGCACCATACCCGACTGAAAGGATGGGGTGGGGGGAGCACCATACCCGACTGAAAGGATGGGGTGGGGGGAGCACCATGCCCAGCTGAAAGGATGGGGTGGGGGGAGCACCATGCCCAGCTGAAAGGATGGGGTGGGGGGAGCACCATGCCCAGCTGAAAGGATGGGGTGAGGGGAGCACCATGCCCAGATGAAAGGACGGGGTGGGGGGAGCACCCTGCCCGGCTGAAAGGATGGGGTGGGGGGAGCACCATGCCCGGCTGAAAGGATGGGGTGGGGGAGCACCATGCCCAGCTGAAAGGATGGGGTGAGGGGAGCATCATGTCCGGCTGAAAGGACGGGCTGGGGGGAGCATCATGCAGGCCAAGACACAGCACCTGTCTTACTCCTCACAGCAGGAGCTGGCTGAGGATTGCCGCTCATCACGCAGAGGGGCGAGAGCAGACACCGGGCTGACGAATGCCCAGGACCTCAAAATCTGCACAACTGCACTCAGAAGCACACTGCTTCTGTCTCTGTTCAAAACACCCAGAACAACAATCAGGAACGAGGCTCCCGTGACGGCCGTCCCCAGAGCCAGCCCCACCCCACCACAAGTGCTGACACCAGGCCACACTGCCCCAGCCAGGCCAGAGAGGGACCACTGGCTACAGTCAACGAGCACCTGCCTGGCCCCTCTACAGACAGCCCTGCCCTACACCACGGTGCCTGCCCTTGGGGCCTCCTGCCGGGAGTCAGCCCACCCCGTCCCTGTCCCCCTCAACTTCCCAGGCCCACTGTCCTGGAGGGTGGACAGTCCAGCGTGAGAGCCGCCTCCTGGCCCCTGCTCTCTGCAGGTCTGCAGTGCCTCACTGAAGCTCAGTCCATGGTAATTTCACCCCTCAGCATTGAAGCCCCAGCACCTGGGCTCCTCCGTTCACTAAAAGACCCCTGAAAACCCGAGTCTCTCACCTGGGCATGACCACACAACACCTGCCCAGAGCAACCCTGTCACCTGCCACTAGCTCCAACACTGGCTCTCGGCAAAGCTCCCAAGGAGGCCTTGAGCCGCACTTCGCCCAAAAAAAACAAATAACAAAGCGCTTTCTATACAACGGAGGCGCTGTCTCAGCCTCAACAAGAGGCTGTGGTCCTGGCTGGTCACAGTGGCGAACCCCACGCGAGGACACCGGGCCTCCCCCTTAAACCCCACCATCCACAGACACGGTGAGCCTGAGAGGCCTGTGAGTGTGGTGGAGGCCTCAGGCCCTCTTCTCTGCTGACCATGTGGCCTCCACAAGGGTTTCTTCCCTCAGGTTTTGGTTCATGCTCAGTCTTTCACACGTACAGGTTTGATGAGCTTCAGCTATCTGGCAAGTGTGCACACCTACTTTGTGAATAAAAACAACACGGGACATTAAGCTATGGCCTAGATCCCGTCCTTCCCAGAGATCAAGAGGGACACCCAAAAAAGCCAAGCCACAAAGGATTAATTCAAGGGCTCAAAATGCAACACAATTAAAAGAATTTTGCCCACAGGAGTCTGGATTTGTGCAGCCCCAGCGCAGACGGCTGGAGCCTCACTCAGACCTGGGGCTACAGTGCCACCACTGCAAGGACAGGCAGGCCACAGAAGCCGCGCAGGACGGGCATTTTAGTTTTTTTTTTTTTGAGACAGAGTTTCGCTCTTGTTGCTCAGGCTGGAGTGCAATGGCGCAATCTCGGCTCACCACAACCTCCGCCTCCGCCTCCCAGGTTCAAGCGATTCTCCTGCCTCAGCCTCCGGAGTAGCTGGCATTACAGGCATGCGCCACTACGCCCGGCTAATTTTGTATTTTCAGTAGAGACGGGGTCAGGGTTTCCCCATGTTTGTCAGGCTGGTCTTGAACTCCTGACCTCAGGTGATCCGCCCGCCTTGGCCTCCCAAGGTGTACAGGCGTGAGCCACCACACCCGGCCAATAGTTATTTTCAAGACCAAACGACTCTACCAAAAATGCTGATTTTTTTTTAAGACAGGGTCTCGCTGTGTTGCCCAGGCTAGAGTGCAGTGACATGATCTCGACTCACTGCAGCCTCAACCTCCTGGCCTCAGGTGATCCTCCCGCCTCCACCTCAGGAGTAGCGGGGACCACAGGTGCCACCACACCCAGCTTGAAAATGTGGATGAAAACACAGAGGCAGAGGAGCCTTGTATTCAGCATCTCATGGGTTCTCAATCAAGTCCTGCTGGACGGAATCGCAGAGCACGAAGGAAATCCTGCCGCTGAGATTCACGCCTGTGGCAGGAGAGGACTCAGAGGCCACCAGAACTCACAATCTCTTCTCGGATGGAGTAGTCAGCTGTCTCCAGATAGCTCAGCATCTCGGCCACGATCTGTGGGGCGTTGCTGCGGTCGCACATGGCGTAGAGGAGGTCCACGGCCCGCTGCCGCACGCTCACGTCCCGCTCAGTCTGGGGAACAAGGCACAGAGTAAGAGGTCGCAGGAGCAAGGCACAAGCTTGGGGACAGGCTGGGGACAGGCTCGGCACCCGCATCTCAACACCCACTCTGAGTTTCCCTCACATGCACATCCAGGTCCAGGGAGCCGACCTGCACTCGGGCCACGTGTGTCTGGACAGCCCGGAATAGAGTTCCGCCTGCTGGCCCGGCCCTCCCGCACAGGCCAGCTTCGCTAGGACCCAGCGCACTGCCTGGATTCTGCCCGCTCGTCCATGCCTCCCTTGCCCTCCACAAGGGCCAGCTTCGCTAGGACTGAGCGCACTGCCTGGTGCAGGCCATCAAGGACTCCCTTCCATGCAGCCAAAGACCCCACTGCCTCGGACACGGAGCTGCCCCAAGGCAGGTCCTCACGCCCCACCCCAGAGCCCGTGCTGATGGGCCCCCAGGAGGCTCTGCAGCACCAGAAAGCCCGAGCTCTGCTCCCAACAAAGGCAGGAGAGTGGGCACCACCAGCGCTAGCACTGGCCGTGTGCAAATGAGTGTCCAGCCCTTCTGACAATAGGGATTGACTAAAACAAACACCAAAACCAGGACCAAGAAGAATCCAGAATACCAAATGCCCACCACGAGCCCCTTGCACACCACCCGGAATATCTGTGAGCTGCACGCAGACGTGCGGGGGACTGGGAGCAGCCCTGCCACAGCCTGAGGCTGAGCCAGATGGGGGACATGCAGCTCCCCGCCTCCCACTCCCTAACGCATGTGCACCGGTGACTAGGGACTTGGTGGACACACCGCAGGGTCCCCTATGTGGAACGAACCCTCGGGGTCGCTCTGGAGACTCGCAAAGGCTGGCAATGGCCAACCTCAACTGGGCTCTTCCAATTCTGAAATTTTTTTTTTTTTTTGAGACGGAGTCTCGCTCTGTCGCCCACGCTGGAGTGCAGTGGCGCGATCTCGGCTCACTGCAAGCTCCGCCTCTTGGGTTCAAGCCATTCTTCTGCCTGAGCCTCCTGAGTAGCTGGGACTACAGGCACCGGCCGCCACCACGCCCGGCTAATTTTTTTTTGCATTTTTAGTAAAGACGGGGTTTCACCGTGTTAGCCGGGATGGTCTCGATCTCCTGACCTTGTGATCCACCCGCCTCGGCCTCCCAAAGTGCTGGGATTACAGGCGTCAGCCACCGCGCCCGGCCCCAACTCTGAAATTTTAATCCCCGAACAAAGTGAGTTTCCTTTGTAAAAGGGGGATTTTCTTGGAGATAAGGGAAAAAAATTTCATCTTTCTACCAAGAAGAACCATTTCTACTTGTCAGCACTATGCACGCGCAGGATGGCACACGGGGGCTGCCCCCAGCAGGGAAAGGGCTGCCAGAGACTCCTCTGCTCAGCCTAACCAGGACAGCAGGGCCAACCCGGCCATCTCCAGGCAGCATGGCCCTCAACAGTGGTGTGACCTCCCAAGAGTAGGTGACAGGCGGAGGCCAGCAGCACCAGCACCACCTCCATCTCTGCGGGGAGTCAGGAGGCACTGCGTACCCCCAGCCTTCACAGGAAGACCCACGGCACCTGCTCAGGGAGTGAGCAGAACCCAAGGACAGGGCACTCGCCTTCAGGGCGTTGATGACCGTCTCGATGTGCGTCTTGACAGCCTCATGGGAGAACTCAGAGCTGGCCAGCGTGCACATGCTCTCCAGGGCCAGGTAGCGCAGGTTGGTCTCGCGGTGCTGCAGAAACTGGCCCAACTGGTTGCAGGCACGGACGAGCAGGTTCGGCTCACTGTGTGGAGGGAGGGGAAGTGGGTGGGGTTTCCTCAGCAAGTGCAACACAAACTGGACAGAGTCTGCGTTCCCCGACGGGTCCAGATGGCAGACAGCAAAGTCACACGGCACTCACCGCCACCACACTGCTCAAGTGGGAACTCGGGGGCCTCCCCAGATGCAGATGACGCCCGACCCCCACCCCTGACATCCATTTTGTGTCCATCCTGTGCATCCCCACAGTGAGTCAGCAGCCCGTGTGTCCACTGGAGCCTTCCCAGCACCTCCTGAGCCTCAATCTGCATCAGGCCCGCGGGAGGCCGGTCAAGCTGTGACCGGCAATGGGGTCTCAGCCAGAGGCACCAGCCCAGGGCAGGGAGAAGGCCGAGAAGGCCGGGAGCGCGGCTGCTGCCCCACTGACTCTACTGTCTCCTCAGGATGTGGCTTCTCCTCACATAACAACAGAGCTTTCTCCAAAATGGGAAATTTCAGTTTTAATAACTCTCAGTTCTGAAGTGTGACTCTCAGACTGAGTTTTCATCATTTGTAAAAATGCTGTAGTAGCAAATGGGTGGTGTTCACTAGCTGTAGAGAGCGTCTGCCCACAGCCTGGCACGTTCCCTCATTATTGGGAGCCTGGTGAGAACTGCGATCTCATTCTCACAGGACCCTAAAGCATGGCCCCACACGCAAGACCCACGCCAGACCACATGTGGTGCGCCGCAACTGCTGAGCAGAGAAGGCGTGGGAGCAGAGGAGGCAGACCCTCCAGGCTGTGTGGAGCGACCGCCACCCTGCGCCTCTGCGCTTCGTGGATGGGCACAGACGTTTCCAGCACTGCCCTGCGACCCTGGACCCACCAAGTGCGGCTCCACATCCAGCAAAGCCACGGGACATGCGCGCACACCCCCCACCCCACCCGTCTCCTCTCTGTTCCACTACATGAGAAGCCAGTCAGGAGTGGGGATGCTCAGGGGAAGGAGGAAAAGGCCCTCGTGTGGGATGAGACCACAGTCACCAAAGCAATCCACGGTGAGCTCAGAGCAGGAGGGGCCGGGCTGCACAGAAAGAAAAAAAGCATCCGGCAGGGAGCACAGAGGCAGGACGAAGGGGAGGCCCATGGAGTGGACAAACCAGACATGATCCGCCCAGTCTCGTGCCAACGAGAAGGAACGTGTGTGTGTGCGCGAGACGAAGCCTCTCCACAGGCAGCCGACACACCTGTCATGGTGAATGATTAAGCTGATGGCCTCGAAAAGCACGGCATTCTTCGCGTTGGAGTGCTGGACCTTCTTCGACTTGGGCGGTTCTTGGGCTTTGTTCAGGATGGTCTCCAGGCACTCAGTCAGGCGGCCTCGCACTGCAGGGTCTTCTGGGCAAGACAGAACGGTGCTCACCAGTCTCCAGTGGCCCGCAGCCCACCCTGCCCCTCCCGGCTGCACCCATACATCATGAGAGCATTTTTAATATAGTTCATTCACATTTGTGTACCCAGCTGGAAGCATTTACAAAACTGAGACAGGCCGGGCACGGTGGCTCACTTCTGTAATCCCAGCACTTTGGGAGGCCGAGGCAGGCCAGTCACCTGAGGTCAGGAGTTCAAGAACAGACTGGCCAACATGGTGAAACCCCGTCTCTACAAAAACGCAAAAGTTAGCCGGGTATGATGGCAGGTGCCTGTAATCCCAGCTACTCAGGAAGATGAGGTGGGAGAATCGCTTGAACCCGGGAGGCAGAGGTTGCAGTGAGCTGAGGTCGCGTCACTGCACTCCAGCCTGGGCAACAAAGGGAGACTCCGTCTCAAAAAGAAAACCTGCACAAATCTGATACTATAAAAGCACAAATAGACCCAAACACTAACAAAACTGTAGGCTCTGCAATAACTGCTCCACGAAAGCCAGCGCATACAGCAGCACTGGCAGAAAGGTCCATGAATCAAGAGACAGGGCTAGTAACACACTTCTTAAAATAACAAACAAACCACTTAAATCTGAGACAGGGAATCAGACTGGCACTGGTGCAGCTTCAGGAGCCGCGGCCTGCGCGTTACCTGGGGGTGGGTAGCACTGCAGCAGTCTCAGCAGTTTGACAGACAGCCAGGGAGCCGGGACAAAATAGTAAGTGTAATCCTGGAGATCTGTGGATGCAGACGTCACGATCTGTAAGACAGCACAGGCAATGAGACACGCTGCCGGACACGAGCCCCTACTGCGGGGACCCAAAGAAAAGCCATACTCACTCCTCGGGTCACGCCTGAGCTGGAAAAATGGTTTTGTTTCATGTGCCAAGAGTGTCTGACACTGCTTGGTACCCCCTGGGTTCGCCGTGAGAGGGCTGCACTGTCACTCGGCAACACGCTGCCGCAGCTGAGTGGCAGCCCTCGCTCGGTACAAGACACCATAGCACCTGGATTTGAAACTACAGTCTTTCCTTTGTGGACCGGCACGTGAATGAAATCAGAGAGAGAGCTTTAGCCTCCTCAGAAGGAAGAAGCACCCCCACCCCCAGAAGCCGGCATTCTGACCCTACCCCACAACCCCACAGGGCCCCCCGACCACAGGCCAACCCAGATGGTGAGCTCACGGAGGCAGGGAGACTGCCCACCTCACTCACATCCCATCTCTGTGTCCAATGCGGCCTTTGGCTTGGCAGATCCTCCGTCAACCTCCTGAACAAGTGACAATCACGACTACCTCGCATTTCCACTGACATACAGCCCGATGTCTCCTGTTTCCCGGAGGTCAGGGTAGTTCCTCCCTTCCTACAAAGCTCACATGTGACACTTTTAGGCCGTAAGTGAACCCATTCAGAAAAGTTCACCCTGACTCCTACCCTAAGCTGCAAGATGCCAGCCCAGACTTGGGTCACGGACTCCTGCTGCAAGGAGGCAAGCTCTAGGCTGTCAAAGACAAGGCTGAAAGGCACAAACACAAAGCAGGAAAAGGCAAGAATCACAGCACTTCCGTGACACACAGACACGGCCAACATGAGCTGTCTCTCAAACAAGTACGCACCTAAGGCCGGGCTCAGAGAGAAATGTACAGCCTTAACTGTATATATTTGAAACAAATATAAAGAGAAAAGCAACAAAAATTCATCTCAAGCGTTTAAAAAGAGACTAGGCCGGGTGCGGTGGCTCCCGCCTGTAATCCCAGCACATTGGGAGGCCGAGGCGGGTGGATCACAAGGTCAGGAGATCGAGACCATCCTGGCCAACACAGTGAAACCCCATCTCTACTAAAAAATACAAAAAATTAGCCAGGCATGGTGGCGGCCGCCTGTAGTCCCAGCTACTCGAGAGGCTGAGGCAGGAGAATGGCGTGAACCCAGGAGGCGGAGCTTGCAGTGAGCCAAGATCGTGCCACTGCACTCCAGCCTGGGCGACAGAGTGAGACTCCATCTCAAAATAAATAAATAAATAAATAAATAATAAAAAGAGACTAGCAAATTAACCCAAAGAAAGTAGAGGAAAGGAGTCCAGGTGCGGTGTCTCATGCCTATAATGCCAGCACTGTGGGAGGCCAAGGCAGGTGCAATCAATCACTTGAGGTCGGGAGTTCGCAACCAGCCTGGCCATTGTGGTGAAACCCCATCTCCATCAAAAATATACAAAAATTAACTGGGCGTGGTGGCGACGGCCTGTAGTCCCAGCTACTCGGGAGGCTGAGGTAGGAGAATCGCTTGAACACAAGCAGAGGTTGTGGTAAACCGAGATCGTGCCATTGCACTCCAACCTGGGCAACAGAGTGCGACTCCGACTCAAAAAAAAAAAAAAAAAAAGAAAAAGAAAATATGCACAGTTCCACAACTTATAAAATAAATTGAATTCATAATTAGAAAGTTTCACAGCCAGGCGCAGGGGCTCACACCTGTAATCCCAGCACTTTGGGAGGCCAAGGTGGGCAGATCACCTGAGGTCAGGAGTTCGAGACCAGCCTGACCAACATGGAAAAACCCCATCTCTACTAAAAATACAAAATTAGCCAGGCGTGCTGGCGGGCGCCTGTTAATCCCAGCTACTCGGGAGGCTGAGGCAGGAGAACCGCTTGAACCTGGGAGGCAGAGGTTATGGTGAGCCGAGATCGTACCACTGCACTCCAACCTGGGCACCAAGAGCGAGACCCTATCTCAAAAAAAAAAAAAAAGTTTCCCACAAAGAAAACTGCAAGTTCAAATGTTTTTACCAGTTAATGATAAAAACTGTTTGACAAACTAGATAGAGAAAGGAACTTCTTTAATGTGAAGAGTACCAACGACAACAACAAAATTCTAAAGCAGACATCATACTTAATGGTGAAATATTCAACACAAAAAACGGACAACCCAGGGTAAAAATGGGTAAAAGACTCAGGCACTTCACAAAACAAGACACCCAAACAGCCAATCAACATGCAAAGTTGCTCAACCTCATTGATAATCTGGAAAATGTAGATTTAAATCTCAAAGAGGCCGGGTGCGGTGGCTCACGCCTATAATTCCAGCAGTTTGGGAGGCCAAAGCAGGTAGATTGCTTGAGGTCAGGAGTTCAAGACCAGCCTGGCCAACATGGTGAAACCTCATCTCTGCTAAAAATACAAAAATTAGCCAGGCTTGGTGGTGGGTGCCTGTAATCCCAGCTACTCTGGAGGCTGAGGCAGGAGAATCCCTTGAATCCAGGAGACAGAGGTGGCAGTGAGCTGAGACTGCACCACTGCACTCTAGCCTGGGCGACAAAGTGAGACTCTGTCTCAAAAGAAAAAAATAAAAAATAAATCACAGAGCTCCCACTATACACCCAGATGACTAAAACCCAAGAGACTAGCACTACGCGTGCCGCGCCCGCGCCTCCTGCTGCCGCTGTGAGAGCCGTGTGCACGGCAGGGGAAGCTGGTCTGGCAACGCCAGTCTCCTCAGGTTCAGGAGCCGCGGCCCCAGCTGAGCCATCTCGTGCACATGGAAACCAAGGGACATCCAAGACTGCTCATGCTGGAGGATTCACAGCAGCCTCAGAGGGCAAGGAGCTAAGTGTTCAACAGGACAGCAGGTAAACTGCAGCGGACAATTCACACAACCAATTCTATGAAGCATCAAACATGAATGTATAACAGCTGCACACAAAACAAAAATTTTACCATGTTGAGCAAAACAAAAGAATGTGTGCTGCAGGTCCATCTGCATCAAACTCAGAACAGGAAGCTGAATGGCAGGCTTTAGCGTGCACGCCAGATGGTGGGTCCACGAAGCACCAGCCACGCTTCCCCAGTGGGGGACACGGGGCCACTGGGTGCCCCTCCTCCACCCACATGGTGTTGGGTGCTCACTCACACCATGGGAACAGGGAGCTGTGCTTCTGTACAGACAGGACAGTTCTCAACAAGAAGGCTGACAGAGAAGCCAAGTTGGTTTTCATCCCTGAATTTATAAACTGATCAAATACCTTGCATTCTACAAATAAGCTAATAAATAAATAACTAAGACAAAACCCACCCTGACTTCTGCTCCCCCACGAACAGACTTACTCTGCTTAGCCTAGAGACAGCCAGAGACACGGAGGTTTTAAACTCTTCTGGGTTCTTCTGTGCTAAAGTGGTGATCAGACTTGTGGCTGCAGTTACCACACCCTGAAAGAAAACACACACACAAGAGTCAGAACACTTGAAGCTAACCACTTGTGTTCACTCATCTTCCAAAGAAAACCTTAAACCAACCAGCAGCACAGTGGCAGCCCACAGCCACCTCGGCCTCAGGCCTACTCCGAGAAACCTACAATGTTCTCCCAGATGGCACATGCAGATTTTCTTTTTCCAGCTTCTCCTTAAAAACTGGGAAGTTCCGTCATGCTTAGCCCAGATCCCTGCCAGCATCGAAGAGCCAGAGGGCCACGTCCAGCCATGCAGGTCAAGCATGTGGGCTGCACACGCCACCTTGCCTGCTGCCCTCTCCTGGCCTGGCCTCCACCGTCATCTGCACTTGCTGCCTCTGGTTTAATAACGCATGTTCACTGTAGAGGGAGACGCTACCTTTACACTGATCTGAATCTTTACAACCCAGAAGTGAGACTATAGAAAAGAGCAACTGGAGAAGTCCTTTTCCATTCTCCTTTTTGGAAAGTGGCCCTGGCAGTCACTGAACCACCATAGGCTGGATGAGGCCACTAGGCCCAGCACGCGAGTCCTCCCTCCCCGCTCCTCCTGGCCCTCAGTGAGAACAGATTCAGATCCCAGGGCACAAGCAGTCCTCCCCAAAGCACCGGGTAGCCTGTCACCGCTCCAGGACACGGCACCGGGCAGCCTGTCACCGCTCCAGGACACGGCACCGGGCAGCCTGTCACCGCTCCAGGACACGGCACCGGGCAGCCTGTCACCGCTCCAGGACACGGCACCGGGCAGCCTGTCACCGCTCCAGGACACGGCACCGGGCAGCCTGTCACCGCTCCAGGACACGGCACCGGGCAGCCTGTCACCGCTCCAGGACACGGCACCGGGCAGCCTGTCACCGCTCCAGGACACGGCACCGGGCACCCTGTCACCGCTCCAGGACACGGCACCGGGCAGCCTGTCACCGCTCCAGGACACGGCACCGGGCAGCCTGTCACCGCTCCAGGACACGGCACCGGGCAGCCTGTCACCGCTCCAGGACACGGCACCGGGCAGCCTGTCACCGCTCCAGGACACGGCACCGGGCAGCCTGTCACCGCTCCAGGACACGGCACCGGGCAGCCTGTCACCGCTCCAGGACACGGCACCGGGCAGCCTGTCACCGCTCCAGGACACGGCACCGGGCAGCCTGTCACCGCTCCAGGACACGGCACCGGGCAGCCTGTCACCGCTCCAGGACACGGCACCGGGCAGCCTGTCACCGCTCCAGGACACGGCACCGGGCAGCCTGTCACCGCTCCAGGACACGGCACCGGGCAGCCTGTCACCGCTCCAGGACACGGCACCGGGCAGCCTGTCACCGCTCCAGGACACGGCACCGGGCAGCCTGTCACCGCTCCAGGACACGGCACCGGGCAGCCTGTCACCGCTCCAGGACACGGCACCGGGCAGCCTGTCACCGCTCCAGGACACGGCACCGGGCAGCCTGTCACCGCTCCAGGACAGCCACTAGGGAATCAGTCACTCAGACCTCTTGAAAAAAGACTTTAATTATATAAAGACATTCTCCCATAAATTTTTTTAAAAAATATAAAATAAATGATACCTATTCACTCTGAAGATGTAAACAGTGAGCTCAGGAAGTGTCTACTTGCGTGGGCACGGTGGCTTATGCTGTAATCCCAGCACTTTGGGAGGCCGAAGCAGGCGGATCACCTGAGGTCAGGAGCTCAAGACCAGCCTGGCCAACACGGTGAAACCCCATCTCTACTAAAAATACAAATATTATCCAGGCGTGGTGGCACTCGCCTCGCCTGTAATCCCAGCTACTCGGGAAGCTGAGGCAGGACAATCGCCTGAACCCAGGAGGCAGAGGTTGCAGTGAGCTGAGATCGCGCCACTGCACTCCAGCCTGGGTGACAGAGCAAGCCTCTGTCTGAAAGGAAATGTCTACTTGAATGACTGATGCAATCCCCCCACCACTCGCCCTGTGCCACGGCTCCTCAGCCAGGCTGGGGTGCACCTACTATAGCACGGCACTCTCCCCAGAGACCTGCTGTGCCTGTGCCCTCAGCTTTCCAAGGAAAATGTGAAAGCTGTAAGAAAGAAATTGGTCTGATTGGTCTTCTTCCTGTATTTCTCGGTGAGCAAAGTGCTAACGGATTTTGCCATGTCCAATAAAGAACTTGTAAGAAACTGCAGGTCTGTAACTTCCATGAGGGCAGAGTCATTCCCCACGGGGCTCCTGAATGTTCACGGTGTGTTCCCCCAGGAAACACGCATCTAGAATGCCCCCTGCAACAGGCTGACAGGCGCGGAGCTCAGCCTCTCATTTAGGACGTCCTCCCCCTGCACTGAGACTGTAAGAGGCCTCTCGAGGGGCACACTCAGGCCCGCGACACGTGGCCCCACCCCTGTGGTGGCAGCTGGTGCCAAAGCGACCTCCGTGTCTCCTCAGTGGCCTCCAGCCCTTGGCCCAGCCCCCCAACCCTTCTCCCCATGGTGTCTCCTGTCCTTGTCCACTCCAACCTGTCTGCTCCATCAGGCCACCCTCAGGCTACAGACCCAAGGCTCGGCACGGTGCCCATGCAGCACTCGGGCCAAATCACCTCCCTCCCCACCACCCAACTCCGGGCGCAGGCCTGACCGCCGACCTTCTGACCCTCACCCACCTGGTCCCGCCCACGCTTCCTGTCCCACTCCACAAGACCTCCCTGAAGGACACATGGGGGAGCTCACTCACTCTAGGTGAGCAAATGACACCTTTCTTGGGGGCTCCTGACTTGAGACCAGAGAAGCCAAGCCTCAGGCCTTCGCTGTCAGAGGTGGAAGGCATTTGACAAAAGCCATGGCCACACAAAAGACAGCTGCCAGGGGTGCAGGTGCGCAAGCTGGGAGAGCTAAGGAGGGAAAGTACTGGGCAGCAGGGAGCCCACCCTGGGGTTGGCTGTGGCGTCCCTTCAGGATGAGTTTCCGTTGCCTATAACCAAGAATATGCTGACTCAAGTGCCTGGTGAAATAAAGCCAGATGCATAAAAATACAAAAAGCAAACCAAGTAGCTGGCGTCACAGAATCATAAAGTATCCAAGGAGAGGTGCCCTTGTGGCCATCTGAGGCAAGGCCCTGCCACCCTGAAAAGCACTCAGGGTGACCCTGCGGCTGCATGGCCATGGAAACTTCCTGCCAAGGCAGGAGCAATGACAGCAGTCCCGGCCAGTCCCACAGAGCGTGCACAGATCCTGTCTGCAGAAGGCCCAGGGGAAAGCAGGCAGCCCCGGTCCCTCAGCAGCCCAGTGACGGGCTGCCATGTGCAGCAGGAGCCCGGGGCCTGCCTCCCTGACCAGGCCCTGCCGACTCACAGCTCCCACATAGCTGCTTCACCCGCACACTCTCTGACGCCCAAGACCCCAACACGCCAACTCTGGGTACAAGCCTGGGGCTGTCAGAGGGCATTTCCTCTTTCCCAGCTTCGGCCTCCTTGACTGCAAAGCGGGAAAATCCCATGACCTCCCACGGTCCACGGGATGGTGGACGACAGCCTCCAGCAGCACCGTCTGAAAGGCTCCCCCGCCAGGATGGGGCTCACGGCAACATGGGAAAGTGGCATTCTCGGCCCTCTATCCTGGATCCTTGTGAACGCGTGACCGGCCCACATGCCTCTCCACGCAGCAGGAAATACTTCCACTCCTGCCAACTCTCACCCTCTCATTCATAGAGCAGAGTTCAGGCAGGACAAGCACATTCTGCCCACATCCACCCCTGCTGGATGCGGTGGACGGCTCTGTGACCCTCAAGCCCCTGACGCTCACACACTAGCACAGCCCCTCCCCCATACCTGCCTCTCACAGCACCTGAACACACATCACCAAATCGCTGGAAACCTCCACCCTTGGTGTATGCCTATACCATGGGGGCCTGGCCCGTGGAGTAGGCACGAGGATTAGTAAGACTGCACGTTAGAGCCTAGATGAGGGCACAGGCAGCCGGGACACCAGGCAGGAGCTCCCCATACTAGATAGGTGTTTCCAGGAGACACGTGTCTCAGCTGGGGGTGTCTGCAGAGCCTCTGTGCTACCCGAGGGCTTCAGCCAATGCCTGGCCACAGGATGAGCAGAGGCGGAGTCTTACTCATCCAGCCCCAGGAAGGGCCCCCGTGGCCTCAGCACGCAGCCACAGCAGCCCCTGTGACAGCCTCTCCTGGGCATCCCGAGAAGGCGCACCATGGTGTCTTCACAACGGCCATCCCAAAGGTCACCTGGGGGAGCGGGGAGAACCAAAGCCAAGGGTGCTTACCAAGTGCTGGTCATTGAGCAGGTGCACCACTCGGGATGTCCAGTCGCCCATGGGGACAAGATCGGGGGACGTCCTGTACAGGCGCAGCAAGCACAGGGCCGCGCTCTGCTTCACGCTGTCCATAGTGTCTCTGAAAGACAGACGTCAAGAGTCACTCGCAACAGGCTGAAGACAGCGCAGAGCTGCACAGAGCACCCCCCCAGAGCCAGCAGGAGACGCGGGGGTGGGGCTGGCGCAGGGGCCAAGACAGCACTCAGGGCCGCCTGCCGAGGCCGCCTAGGGGGCAGCAGCAGTGTTCTCAGCATACATGGGCCCTGCTCCAAAGGTCTCCCTGCCAACCTTCTCACCACCAAAACCACCAGCCGACCACATGCAGCTCACATTGCTCATTTGTTGTTTGAACAATAGCTTTCTTGTTGTTGTTGTTACAACTTAATAATCCACAATCACAACAGAAATGCTTGGAGGGCCCTGCACCGCCATGGAGCTCCACATCTGCTTGATGATCTTCCCCTGCCCCACGCCCACCCTCACCCCACCACGCCCCGCCCTGAACAGTGGGCTGGGCCACACATGCCCTTGCCCCTGGAGCAAAGGGCTTCGGGTCCCTGCAGACACGGTGGGAAGGGAGCCGGCCATGGCTCTCCTGCTCTGCTGCCGACATGCTTGTCCAGGGCACAGACGTGTTCCATGCTCCGCTTATCCCCCTTCGCCCTCCTGCCACCAGATTCTGCTAAGCAGCTGGGAAGGCAACAGGGACCCTGGGGTGGACGCTGTGGAGGCACAGCTGAAAAAGGGCCAGTCTCTTCTCCAAGCGCTTAACAGAATCAGCTGGAATCTGCTGCCCCACATGGAAGGCAGAAAAGGGTATAGAGACTACCTGTACCATTTACCTTTTGGCTTTTTTATTCCTAAATCTCCCCCTATACTATTCCAAAAAATTACTTTGAATAAAAAATTCCCCTTCTGGGTGCCAACGCCCCTGCAAGGAGGAGTAGGTATTGTGTCCCTCTTCCGGCCCACCCCATCCTCACCAGATCAGCCCAGAGCAGCAACCGCACACACACCCTGCCATGCGTCCATGTGGATGTGTGGTCGAGGCCACGTCAGGGGTGTGTTCCAGGCGCCAGCAGGGCTGTCCTTGCCAGGCGGCTTCAGGACCCCATGACTG
Organism: Homo sapiens; assembly: GCF_000001405.40. Classification (NCBI taxonomy): domain Eukaryota; kingdom Metazoa; phylum Chordata; class Mammalia; order Primates; family Hominidae; genus Homo; species Homo sapiens. The sequence continues at coordinate 45,203 of NT_187681.1, read as the reverse complement.
GGCCCCCAGCAGTCCTTCAACATAGAAGAGCCAACCAGGTTCCATGCTTGTGGCTACAAATGCCGACACACGAGGGCGCCCAGCATGCCACACTCCTCAGAGAGGAGGAGGATCCGCCTCCTCTTTTAGGCAGAAGAACACAGTCTAAATCATCAGCTCACACCAAGGGGACGGGGGCCCCACCACTACTCTCCGGTGTCAGCTCACACGAGGGAGACCGAGGACCCCACCATTACTTTCCAGCATCTGCTCACACAAGGGAGACAGAGGACCCCACCGCCACTCTCCGACGTCGGCTCACACGAGGGAGACCAAGGATCCCACAGCTACTCGCCGACATCAGCTCACACGAGGGAGACCGAGGACCCCACCGCTACTCTCCGAGGTCGGCTCACACGAGGGAGACCGAGGACCCCACCGCTACTCTCCGAGGTCGGCTCACACGAGGGAGACCGAGGACCCCACCGCTACTCTCCGACGTCGGCTCACACGAGGGAGACCGAGGACCCCACCGCTACTCTCCGACGTCGGCTCACACGAGGGAGACCGAGGACCCCACCGCTACTCTCCGACGTCGGCTCACACGAGGGAGACCGAGGACCCCACCGCTACTCTCCGACGTCGGCTCACACGAGGGAGACCGAGGACCCCACCGCTACTCTCCGACGTCGGCTCACACGAGGGAGACCGAGGACCCCACCGCTACTCTCCGACGTCGGCTCACACGAGGGAGACCGAGGACCCCACCGCTACTCTCCGACGTCGGCTCACACGAGGGAGACCGAGGACCCCACCGCTACTCTCCGACGTCGGCTCACACGAGGGAGACCGAGGACCCCACCGCTACTCTCCGACGTCGGCTCACACGAGGGAGACCGAGGACCCCACCGCTACTCTCCGACGTCGGCTCACACGAGGGAGACCGAGGACCCCACCGCTACTCTCCGACGTCGGCTCACACGAGGGAGACCGAGGACCCCACTGCTACTCACTAATGTCGGCTCGTAAGAGGGAGACCGAGGACCCCACCACTACTCTCCGATGTCGGCTCACACGAGGGAGACCGAGGACCCCACCGCTACTCTCCGATGTCGGCTCACACGAGGGAGACCGAGGACCCCACTGCTACTCTCCGATGTCAGCTCACACAAGAGAGACCGAGGACCCCACTGCTACTCACTAATGTCGGCTCGTAAGAGGGAGACCGAGGACCCCACCACTACTCTCCGATGTCGGCTCACACGAGGGAGACCGAGGACCCCACCGCTGCTCTCCGACGTCGGCTCACACAAGGGAGACCGAGGACCCCACTGCTACTCACTAATGTCGGCTCGTAAGAGGGAGACCGAGGACCCCACCACTACTCTCCGATGTCGGCTCACACGAGGGAGACCGAGGACCCCACCGCTACTCTCCGATGTCGGCTCACACGAGGGAGACCGAGGACCCCACTGCTACTCTCCGATGTCAGCTCACACAAGAGAGACCGAGGACCCCACTGCTACTCACTAATGTCGGCTCGTAAGAGGGAGACCGAGGACCCCACCACTACTCTCCGATGTCGGCTCACACGAGGGAGACCGAGGACCCCACCGCTGCTCTCCGACGTCGGCTCACACAAGGGAGACCGAGGACCCCACTGCTACTCACTAATGTCGGCTCGTAAGAGGGAGACCGAGGACCCCACCACTACTCTCCGACGTCAGCTCACACGAGGGAGACCGAGGACCCCACTGCTACTCTCCGATGTCGGCTCACACGAGGGATACCGAGGACCCTACAGCTACTCGCTAATGTCGGCTCACACGAGGGAGACCGAGGACCCCACGGCTACTCTGCACCTCCACGGGTTCTCTTTCCACCAACTCCGTCCATCCCAGCAGAGACACCACCCCACTCTTCTGCCTTGGCCGCTGCCTCCCGTCCCTACCTCTGGCCCTAGGAATGACCTGACCTCCTCAGCACCTACTCTGTCCTTCCATTTCTAGGTGACACACACACCAGCAGTCCTCCAATGACAGCACCTCCTTCCCGAGCATGTTTTTGTTTTTGTTTTTGAGACAGAGTCTCGCTCTTTCGCCAGGCTGGAGTACAGTGGAGCAATCTCGGCTCACTGCAGCCTCCGCCTCCCGGGTTCAAGCGATTCTCCTGCCTCAGCCTCCTGAGTAACTGGGACTACAGGAGGGCGCCACCATGCCCAGCTAATTTTTCTGTTTTTAGTAGAGACGGGGTTTCACCATGTTGGCCAGGATGGTCTCGAGCTCTTGAACTCATGATCTGCCCGTCTCAGCCTCCCAAAGTACTGGGATTACAGGCATGAGCCACCATGCCCAGCTTTCTTTCTTTTTTTTTTTTTTTTTTTTGAGACAGAGTCTTATTCTGTTGCCCAGGCTGGTGTGTAGTGGTGCAATCTCCAACTTACTGCAGCCTCCGCCTCCTGGGTTCAAGCGATTCTCCTGCCTCAAGCCTTCTGAGTAGCTGGGACTACAGGTGAGCACCACCACACCCAGCTAATTTTTGTATTTTTAGTAGAGACGGGGTTTCGCCATGTTGGCCGGGCTGGTCTCAAACTCCTGACCTCAGGCCCGCCCACCTTGGCCTTCCAAGTGCTGGGATTACATGCGTGAGCCACTGTGCCCAGCCTTAGCATATTACTTTGAGTCATCTACTACTTAGCTGGATTTCAACAACTAGCCCTTTTCTTCAAGGAAGGCCCATGGGTACCATGTTACCTGAGCTCTCTGAGGTAGGAGAACCCTGCCTGTGACCTTCATCCCCATGGGACCACTCAGGCACCAGAACACGGGCCACCCACTCCCTTCATGGGACCACTCAGGCACCAGAACACGGGCCACCCACTCCCTTCATGGGACCACTCAGGCACCAGAACACGGGCCACCTGCTCCCTTCTGGCTGCAGATGCTGTGCACTGGCCACCTGCTCCCTTCCAGCCGCAGATGCACTGCACTGGCCCCTGGAGACCCCTCCTCACCCTGGCTCCTCCCTCCTCCGTCCCTGGCTCCTGCAGCAGGTCCTCGGTTCAGGTAGTGCCCCACTTCATCAATCTGCACGTGCCTCAGGGGTGGCCCTGTCTTGCATTCCGCTCACGCGCAGACATCCACCAAGCACCTACTAGGGACCTGGTACTGTTCAAGATGCTGGGTTTGTAAAGCGGCCACCACAGTGGACAGAAACCTCAGAGCCCAGGAAGCTTCCACCCCGAGGGTGGAAACAGGTAATAAACAGGCAAGCAACAACCCTGGGGGCAGGAGGAGAGGGAGGGCCAGGAGGCCGTGGCCCTGAGGCAGAATCCACTGGACCTGCTGGCTGGTTTCGACCCCCAGCCCCACCCTCCCTCTCCTGCACCAGCGCCCTGTGATCATTCGAGCCTTCCTTCCATCTTGGGCACCCTGTTTTCGGGGCGCCCACATGCTCTGCCACCTATGACTGAATGGCCTGAGGAGCAACGGTGCCTTCAGGCACTGCGCCTGCTCCCCCGGCTCGGTGGTTCTGCTCCTGTCCATCCTACTGTGGGGTCACCCATCTCTGAGCTCTTGCGCTTCTGAATATCTGTCTTCTCGTGGTTATGCTGCGGTCTCTCTGCCAGCCGGGCTCCTCCTTGCCTCACAGCTGACAGGAGGCTGCCTCATTCTCTATTGTGGGACGTCCTCGCCTCACAGCTGATAGAAGGCTGCCTCATTCTCTGTTGTGGAGCATCCTGAGTGGTGTGGGGTGCAGCACCCTGGTCTCTACCCACTGTGACAACCAAAAATGCCCCAAGACACGGCCCAGTACCCTCACAAAGCCAATGTGGCCCAGTTGAGACGCCGGTCTAGGCCTGTTTCTCTCATGCCTTCCCACCACCTTGTCTCCAGTCCTCACTGTGTGGTCTGGGTGGATGTCCACCCACTCTCCCGTGGCCTGAGGCCTAGCTCAGCCGGGTGGCACCGTGTGGGCGAGGGGTCAGTTTCCCAACTCCGCAGGGTATCCTGGAACACACAGGTGGGGGCCCTGCCTGTGGCACAGACACCCCAGGGTTGCTTTAAGCTCTTCCAGAGCTGGTGACTCAGCCCCTCGAGGCTTCTCTCCAAATTAACAAGGGACGGAACGGATGGCCGAGGGCGCTCCGGCGCGGTGCTCGGCTTCTCCGCGTGAAGCCCTGGGGAACGGGCACGAGGAGGAGCTGCCCAGAGATGCATCGTTCTACCCAGTGCCCTGCGGGGCTGAAGCCCCTTCTTGGTTTTGCTGGCAGGGTGTGGGCGTTCTTCTTTGATCTGTGTTTTGAATCTCAGTGGTATTAGATTGCACTTTAATTGAAATCTAAACTTGTAATTCTCTTTTTGCTTTGGAGACAGGGTCTCGCTCTGTCGCCCAGGCTGGAGTCTCCAAGGCATGAACACGGCTCACTGCAGCCTTGACTTCCTGGGCTCAAGCAATCCTCCCGCCTCAGCCTACCAAGTAGCTGGGACGACAGGAGCACGCCACCACAACTGGCTAATTTTTTAAAACTGTTTGTAGAGATGGGATCTCCCTATGTTGCCCAGGCTGGTCTTGAACTCCTGGGCTCAAGCGATTCTCCCACCTTGGCCTCCTACGGTCCTGGGATTAGAGGCGTGAGCCACCGTGCCCGGCCTAAACTTGTAATTCTGGATCCCACCTTAGGCTACATCTCATCTCCCATAAGATGGGGAGAGTAAAACATTTCCTAGGCTAAGCAGCTCCATATTTGATGTATTTGGCATGAAAGCAGCACATCTTCAGCAGGAGCCCGGCACAAGCCCGGCACATACCCGGCTACGAGGACCTTAGGGATCTCCCCGGCGAAGGCCTCGGCCATCTCCCGGCTGCCCACGCTGGCGATGCAGTGCAGGGCCAGGCCCATGAAGGTGGGGTTGCGGCTGGCCAGGTCATTCTTGATGGCGTTGTTGATCAGGCGGATCAGCTCACTGTTTGAGTTCACCAACACAGAGATGAAAAGGTAGCCCTGCGTTCCAAAAGACAGGAGAAGAGAAAGCTCATGACAATCCAAGTCCACCTGTGGCCCTGAGTCACCCAACAATCAGTGACACACAGATGCGGAAGCAGCCCAGGCACCACCCACGCACCCAGGGCACTGCTGTGGGAGCGGCGCCTCTCAGGATTCGGCAAACGTCTGTTCCAGTGGAACCGAGGATGCCTCTGCTACGATGCTCTCATGGCGCAGCGTTCCTGTGGGGCACACCTGACTAGCGTGCCACGAGCCAGATGCCAACAGGAACTGGACCCCCCGGTCCCACTCACTTCACTGTGGGCCACGCGTCTGAGTGTTCCGGACATCACACTATCCTCAAGTTAAGATGGGCAGGAACCTTCACTGAGAGGCTGATTTTAGCTACAATGATTTCCAGAAACCCGGCTGCCTGTTCCCTCCCACTCTTTAATCTGCCTGTGTCACAGCCTCATGCTGCCCCCCTCCACCCCCACTGACCCAGGGCAAACCCCAGTCCTGTGTCACTGCCACTTCTTCCCAGCCATCCTCGAAGGTGACACCCTCCCCACCTGGAGGGAAACAGTGGTTTTCTCCAGGCCCATCACTGAGCACCCCGGTTAAAGATGTACCCAGCCTCCCACGGCTCCCAGGAAGACGCCACGAGGGAGCTCCCGCCCTGCCAAACACCACTGCCCTTTCAGCCCTGCGCTCGCACGCCCAGGCCACTGCCAGGCACCACCTGCTCTGCTCTCCCTGCTCCTCCCACCCTCAGCCCCCAGTTAACTTCCCCTCCCTCCAGCCTCAGCTCAACACACCCACCTCCACTCCCTCTCTCAAATCCTTTCAACTTCTATGTCTGTGGAGCCATGTGACACCCATCTCCCCCAGGACAAGGGCAGGCCCAAGTTCCGGTCCCTGTGCCTCCGTCCTCAAGGCTAATCCCCCATCCCCCCAACACACCACAGGCACTCCACAAATGCTTGAATAAACACCAATACTTATCAAAACCCCAAGACATCTACAGTCTCTCTTAATTTCTCTAAGTTAAATTTTTTGACAAATGGAAGAAAATATTACTTTATACCACCAGGGAAAACATAGAAATAATGTGACTGCAAGAGACTACACAGCTCAACGTGCAGAGCCCAAGAAGACTTCAAAAGTAGAGTGACAGGACACTGTGCACCAGCCCGGCAAGGGCTGGGGAGATGGTGGGGTGAGCACCCTCCGCACCAAGACCCAGCCATGTGCCTCCAGCGCCTACTGCAGAAACAAAGCTGTCCAAGGGACCACGGGACGGGTCTACTTGGGACAGTGCGTCAACAAGGCACTGTGTCAGGGAGACATCCTCCCCTCCTCTGGAGGCCGACCTCATGGGCACAGAGCACCAACCACATCAAACGCTGGGCCGCGTGCGGCACTCTCCAGACCAACCGGGCAGTCCTGAAACTCGCCGTAAGGGAGGTTGCGAAGAAAGGAGGAAAAGGCATGGCCACCTCATCAGGAAAACCGCATGCAGGAGGAGGAACCCTGTGAGGGCATCAGGGCTTCCTGAAGAACACCCAGATTGGGCGGGAAGGGGGCCCTCAGGGTGTTGGCAGCAGGTGCTAACAAGGACTGGGCACGCGTCTCCATCTGCAGCAGACCCACGTGGCTCACGTCAGCTGTGGGTAGAGAAGGAAGCAGCGGCCCTACACGGGCACGGGGCCTCAGTCCTGCCAGGCCCACGCCATCCTCTGCCGTCTCCACCTGCAGCGATACTCACGATCTGCTTTTCCGTGTATCTGTTTGAACTCAGCAGGTTCACAGCCTCCATGTGTCCAAAGTCAATGTCATGACCAAGGAGAAAGATGAAGAGCAACTTGCAGACGTACTTTTTTTTACTATAGCCATCAAGAGCCTTGTCACCTACAGAAAAGGTGGGGAAGAGGTTTTATTCCAGGCGGGCAGAGGCAGGGGAGAGGGGAGAGCAGAGGGCAGTGCAGCAGTACAGCAGGCAGCACGGACAAGCCTCCAGGAGAGGGGTGGCCGGGCCCAGGCAGGTGCAATGCAGACGCTGCTGAGCATGAATAACCTTTCTAAACTCATGGTACTCATGAGAGTCCAAGTTTTTTATTTCCCTTTTAAAAACAGGCACCAGAACATCTGGCAACAAGAGTTCTACCCTCCCACGACAACCCTGGGCAGGTGCAGCCCAGCTGGCCCTCACAGGGCCTCACTCCGACCAGCCAAAATCCCACAGAGGGCCCTGCTGTGATAGAACTTGCAAACCCTGCCTTCAACCATCAAGCTTGTCTTTGAAATCAGTTTAATTTAGGCATATGAACACAGTCTAAATTATCTGCCACTTCATAGCCATTCTAGGGCAAATCAGCTGGTCATGAAAACAAGGCCCACACGCGACGGCCCCTAGGGCTTCTGTTTCTCTGCCTCATCGCAGTTTGTCTGAGCCCCTCACAAGGGATCATGGCAGGGCAGGTTCAAAACATGTAATTGGCAGAATATAAAATTCCAAAATATAAAACCAACCCTTAAAAAAAGGGCCATTCTGGGCCCGGCGCGGTGGCTCACGCCTGTAATCCCAGAACTTTGGGAGGCCGAGGCAGGTGGATCACCTGAGGTCAGGAGTTCGAGACCAGCCTCAACATGGAGAAACACCATCTCTAGTAAAAATACAAAATTAGCCAGGCGTGGTGGTGCATGCCTGTAATCCCAGCTACTCGGGAGGCTGAGGCAGAGAATTGCTTGAACCTGGGAGGCGGAGGTTGCGGTGAGCCAAGACCACACCATTGCACTCCAGCCTGGGCAACAAGAGCAAAACTCCATCTCAAAAAAAAAAAAAAAAAAAAAAAGGCCGTTCTACATTGCCAGGAGTTTCTATCCCACCTGAGAGGTGAGGGAGTGTCCCTCAGAGCCAGCCTCCAGCAGGCTGTGGAGGCGAGCGAGAAAGGTGGCCTTGTGCAGGCCGAGTCTCACAGAGACTCTGCTGCCACAGCGTGAAGGAACGCAGGCTGGGAAGACAGCCCAGCTGCGACAGCCGCTCTGGCCCCCTTCTTGTGAAGGGCTGGGGCGCTCACACCTCCACGGACGACCTCAACTGTGTAGAATACAGACCGGCCACATTTCCTGGGGAACGGTGCATCACCAGTCGGCCAGTCAGCTGCATGCTGCACTCTGAGGAGCTCATGAGAAACCCCCCTCCTTGTCAGCGGCAAATTAACATAATTTAAAAGACCAGATGATATAAATAAAAGCAGACCCGACCTGGTTCCTCCCTCCCCCGGCCCCGACCCACTTATCTGCTTGCTGTGCCCAAGGGGTCCCAGCAGACACGTTCTCCGTGCCCTGTTTGTGCAGGAGGGCACACACAGCTGAGCACGGGCTGCGCAGCAGAGATCCTCCACTGGGAAGCCCCAGCACCGTGTCTCCTACCCAGCCCAGATTCCATCACCCGCTGGAAGCCGCCTTGGACAACCACAGCCAAAAATACTGCTTGACCTCCTCCTCCCTCCGGAGACTTCCCTGTTACTCAAAGCACCTCTCAAAGGAAAAAATAACTGACAGGGGAGAGGACCAGCGGCCCGACTGGGCTGAGTTTTGTGGGACAGGGATGGGGACGGGGATGGAAACAGGGGCGGAGACGGAGACAGGCTCTCTCCGAGAGGAGCCGACCAGCCTCTGCTCCCGCGGGACCCCAGACGAAGAGCTGCTCTAGAGCTCCCGGGTGCTGGGAAACTTAGGCCCACCTTTAGAAGCTGAGCCCACTGGTCAGTGAGGGTGATGCAGGATCACCTCTGGGCCTCCCAGAGATGTCACAGAGCACTCCCCTGGGCACACCACCCCTGTTGCATAAGCACCGTGAGGGGCAGCGGAAGTCGCCAGCGCGAGGAGAAAGCCACAGTGCTCGGCCCGCTGCTCATGTGGCAGCACGTGGATTCCTGGCCTAACCCAGGGCCACAGGAAACAAGCAGCAATGCTCGCTCCACACCCTCACCCATCTCGGTGGGGCAGGTGGCAGGTGAGCCCGCCAGCTCCCCTGGCAGGTGCCACTGTGAAGTTTATCCCTCCTGAAAGGACCCAGACTGATACAGTCTTCAAAATGCTGGTTTCAGTACTGGGCTAGAATTACTTTTTTATTCTAGTAATTTCAAAATGTTGAGTTGAACTTTAATATTCTGAGCTATAAAAGGCAGAGGATAACAGTAATATCTGTCTCCTTGGTTTGTGCAGATCAGAGGAGAGATGGCTGGAAAACCTCATCCTAAACCATAAAAGGATCACGATTAAGTTTGGGCTCCAGTCTGAAAGATGCAGCCACTTGCTTGTCTTGTGGTCTCAGACGTATTCCTTAACCTCTCTGAGCCCAACTTTCTCAGCAGGTTACTATAAAAATGAAACAGGGCCGCGCATGGTGGCTCACGCCTGTAATCCCAGCACTTTGGGAGGCTGAGGCAGGAGGATCATGAGGTCAGGAGATAGAGACCATCCTGACTAACACGGTGAAATCCTGTCTCTACTAAAAATACAAAAATAAGCCGGGCGTGGTGGCGGGCGCCTGTAGTCCCAGCTACTCGGGAGGCTGAGGAAGGAGAATGGCATGAACCCGGGAGGCAGAGGTTGCAGTGAGCCGAGATCGCGCCACTGCACTCCAGCCTGGGTGACAGAGCGAGACTCCATCTCAAAAAAATAAAATAAAATAAAAAAATAAAATGAAACAGCACAGCACGGACGGAGCATCAGGTGTCTGAGGCAACGTAAGGTCACAACACAGGTTCATGAGCACCATCTTTCGCTGACTCATCAGATGCACACAGACTTCACAGACGATAAAATGTGACAAAATGTCTACCTCATAATGACTGAAACCTGCTTGGTTATTTTTGTTTTGTTTTTCCCAGACAGTCTTGCTCTGCTGCCCAGGCTGGAGTGCAGTGGTGCAATCTTGGCTCACTGCAACCTCCACCTCCCAGGTTCAAGCGATTCTCGTGCCTCTGCCTCCCGAGTAGCTGGGATTACAGGCACACGCCACCACACCCGGCCAATTTTTTTATTTTTAGTAGAGATGGGGTTTCACCATGTTGGCCAGGCTGGTCTCAAACTCCTGACCTCGTGATCTGCCCTCCTCGGCCTCCTAAAGTGCTGGGATTACAGGCGTGAGCCACCACGCCTGGCCTGGTATTTTTTTATAACAAAATATCAAGTAGAATAAGATAAACTGGAGAGTGAGTCAGGAACCAGAGCCTCCAGGCCTTCTCTTGACCTGAAAGTTGGGAAAAGGGACAGTGCCCTGACTGGCCACCAGCCATCTGGTCACCAGCCAGAGGCACTGCTGGCTCTACACTCTCCAACCCACACAGCCTGCATGAGGCTCACACCCTCGGGGGCAGGGTGGGAACTCCTTCCACTTCCTCACCAATGCACACCAGCCCCAACAACAGTGTGTGGCACAAGGCAGTTGCTCAGTCTTTGCCTTTTACATCAATGAATTAATAATCAAGCAAACTCACGGTAAAATGAAAAACAGGCTGCCCAAGTGAAAGAAAAAGTAAAGTGTTTTGTCTGGAGACAAGGTCTCCCTCTGCCACCCAGACTGGAGTGCAGTGGCATGACCACAGCTCACTGCAGCCTCAACCTCCTAGGCTCAAGTGATCCTCCCACCTCAGCCTCCCAAGTAGCTGGGACCACAGGCATGTGCAACCACACACGGCTAATTTTTTGTACTTTTAGTAGAGATTTTTAGGGTTTCACCACGTTGCCCAGGATGGTCTTGAACTCCTGAGCTTAAGTGATCTGCCTGCCTCGGCCTCCCAAAGTGCTAGGATTATAGGCACGAGCCACCGCGCCTGGCCTATTTAGCAAATTAATGTGCACAACCTGGGAAACTCCTGGAGATGATCAGTCATAAGAAATTCCCAGTCAGGTGCAGTGGCTTACGCCTGTAATCCCAGCACTTTTGGGAGGATTCACTTGAGGTGGGTGAGTTCACCTGAGGCCATGAATTTGTGATCAGCCTAGGAAACACAGCGAGACCCCATCTCTACAAGTTTTACAATTTGCTGGGCGTGGTGGTGCACACCTGTAGCCCTAGCCACTCGGGAGGTGGAAGCAGGAGGATCACCTGAGCCCAGGAAGTCAAGGCTGCAGTGAGTTAGGATCATGCCACAGCACTCCAGCCTGGGCAACAGAACAAGACCCTGTCTCTTTAAAAAAGAAAGAAACTACCATGTCTCTGTAGAGTATGAGAACACAACAGTTGTTTTCTAAAGGCTTAAAGATGGAAGGCACACCTGTGAACATCCCAGTAACTCCCCTGGGCTCCCACTAGCATGGCAGGTGCACATAAGCACTGATTTCTTGCCCATGCGTCTGCAGGTCAGCCGGGGCCACCGTCAAGACACCGTCAGATCTGGACGGGCCTGCTGTGCATGGCTCTGCTCCAGGCCCACACCACCCAAAGCACATCCTTACCATAGCAGAGGTAGGAAGAGCCCAGAGGGGAGACTCCCTTAAAGCCAAAGTTGGGACTGACATGAACACTTTTCTCCACACACCTTAGGCCACACATCAGATGGTCACACCTAACAACCCTCATTAAAGGATAAAGATCACAGGGAAGCCATTTGGGCCTACAGTCTTCTTGATGGCAAACAAATACGGTTTCAACTCTCTGAAGTTCACTGCACTACTGAAGAAACTCCACAGACAGACATAACCACGAGACACAACACACTGGCGTTACCTACACATCTCCCGCTGTCCTGCCCATTCCATTCTTTCCACCTCCACGCTTCCATCTGGGATTATTTCCTTTAATTTCCCACCCGTTCCATGCTTTCCACCTCCACGCTTCCATCTGGGATTATTTCCTTTAATTTCCCGCCCGTTCCATGCTTTCCACCTCCACGCTTCCATCTGGGATTATTTCCTTTAATTTCCCGCCCGTTCCATGCTTTCCACCTCCACGCTTCCATCTGGGATTATTTCCTTTAATTTCCCGCCCGTTCCATGCTTTCCACCTCCACGCTTCCATCTGGGATTATTTCCTTTAATTTCCCGCCCGTTCCATGCTTTCCACCTCCACGCTTCCATCTGGGATTATTTCCTTTAATTTCCCGCCCGTTCCATGCTTTCCACCTCCACGCTTCCATCTGGGATTATTTCCTTTAATTTCCCGCCCGTTCCATGCTTTCCACCTCCACGCTTCCATCTGGGATTATTTCCTTTAATTTCCCGCCCGTTCCATGCTTTCCACCTCCACGCTTCCATCTGGGATTATTTCCTTTAATTTCCCGCCCGTTCCATGCTTTCCACCTCCACGCTTCCATCTGGGATTATTTCCTTTAATTTCCCGCCCGTTCCATGCTTTCCACCTCCACGCTTCCATCTGGGATTATTTCCTTTAATTTCCCGCCCGTTCCATGCTTTCCACCTCCACGCTTCCATCTGGGATTATTTCCTTTAATTTCCCGCCCGTTCCATGCTTTCCACCTCCACGCTTCCATCTGGGATTATTTCCTTTAATTTCCCGCCCGTTCCATGCTTTCCACCTCCACGCTTCCATCTGGGATATTTCCTTTAATTTCCCGCCCGTTCCATGCTTTCCACTCTCTGAAGTTCACTGCACTACTGAAGAAACTCCACAGACAGACATAACCACGAGACACAACACACTGGCGTTACCTACACATCTCCCGCTGTCCTGCCCATTCCATTCTTTCCACCTCCACGCTTTCCATCTGGGATTATTTCCTTTAATTTCCCACCCGTTCCATGCTTTCCACCTCCACGCTTCCATCTGGGATTATTTCCTTTAATTTCCCGCCCGTTCCATGCTTTCCACCTCCACGCTTCCATCTGGGATTATTTCCTTTAATTTCCCGCCCGTTCCATGCTTTCCACCTCCACGCTTCCATCTGGGATTATTTCCTTTAATTTCCCGCCCGTTCCATGCTTTCCACCTCCACGCTTCCATCTGGGATTATTTCCTTTAATTTCCCGCCCGTTCCATGCTTTCCACCTCCACGCTTCCATCTGGGATTATTTCCTTTAATTTCCCGCCCGTTCCATGCTTTCCACCTCCACGCTTCCATCTGGGATTATTTCCTTTAATTTCCCGCCCGTTCCATGCTTTCCACCTCCACGCTTCCATCTGGGATTATTTCCTTTAATTTCCCGCCCGTTCCATGCTTTCCACCTCCACGCTTCCATCTGGGATTATTTCCTTTAATTTCCCGCCCGTTCCATGCTTTCCACCTCCACGCTTCCATCTGGGATTATTTCCTTTAATTTCCCGCCCGTTCCATGCTTTCCACCTCCACGCTTCCATCTGGGATTATTTCCTTTAATTTCCCGCCCGTTCCATGCTTTCCACCTCCACGCTTCCATCTGGGATTATTTCCTTTAATTTCCCGCCCGTTCCATGCTTTCCACCTCCACGCTTCCATCTGGGATTATTTCCTTTAATTTCCCGCCCGTTCCATGCTTTTCCACCTCCACGCTTCCATCTGGGATTATTTCCTTTAATTTCCCGCCCGTTCCATGCTTTCCACCTCCACGCTTCCATCTGGGATTATTTCCTTTAATTTCCCGCCCGTTCCATGCTTTCCACCTCCACGCTTCCATCTGGGATTATTTCCTTTAATTTCCCGCCCGTTCCATGCTTTCCACCTCCACGCTTCCATCTGGGATTATTTCCTTTAATTTCCCGCCCGTTCCATGCTTTCCACCTCCACGCTTCCATCTGGGATTATTTCCTTTAATTTCCCGCCCGTTCCATGCTTTTCACCTCCACGCTTCCATCTGGGATTATTTCCTTTAATTTCCCGCCCGTTCCATGCTTTCCACCTCCACGCTTCCATCTGGGATTATTTCCTTTAATTTCCCGCCCGTTCCATGCTTTCCACCTCCACGCTTCCATCTGGGATTATTTCCTTTAATTTCCCGCCCGTTCCATGCTTTCCACCTCCACGCTTCCATCTGGGATTATTTCCTTTAATTTCCCGCCCGTTCCATGCTTTCCACCTCCACGCTTCCATCTGGGATTATTTCCTTTAATTTCCCGCCCGTTCCATGCTTTCCACCTCCACGCTTCCATCTGGGATTATTTCCTTTAATTTCCCGCCCGTTCCATGCTTTCCACCTCCACGCTTCCATCTGGGATTATTTCCTTTAATTTCCCGCCCGTTCCATGCTTTCCATCTCCACGCTTCCATCTGGGATTATTTCCTTTAATTTCCCACCCGTTCCATGCTTTCCACCTCCACGCTTCCATCTGGGATTATTTCCTTTAATTTCCCGCCCGTTCCATGCTTTCCATCTCCACGCTTCCATCTGGGATTATTTCCTTTAATTTCCCGCCCGTTCCATGCTTTCCATCTCCACGCTTCCATCTGGGATTATTTCCTTTAATTTCCCGCCCGTTTCCATGCTTTCCATCTCCACGCTTCCATCTGGGATTATTTCCTTTTAATTTCCCGCCCGTTCCATGCTTTTCCACCTCCACGCTTTCCATCTGGGATTATTTCCTTTTAATTTTCCCACCCGTTCCATGCTTTTCCATCTCCACGCTTCCCATCTGGGAATATTTTCCTTTAATTTCCCACCCGTTCTCATGCTTTCCACCTCACGCTTTCATCTGGGGATTATTTTCTTTAATTTCCCGCCCGTTTCAGGGTTTCCATCTCCCCGCTTTCATCTGGGATTATTTCCTTTAATTTCCCGCCCGTTCCATGCTTTCCACCTCCACGCTTCCATCTGGGATTATTTCCTTTAATTTCCCGCCCGTTCCATGCTTTCCATCTCCACGCTTCCATCTGGGATTATTTCCTTTAATTTCCCGCCCGTTCCATGCTTTCCATCTCCACGCTTCCATCTGGGATTATTTCCTTTAATTTCCCGCCCGTTCCATGCTTTCCATCTCCACGCTTCCATCTGGGATTATTTCCTTTAATTTCCCGCCCGTTCCATGCTTTCCACCTCCACGCTTCCATCTGGGATTATTTCCTTTAATTTCCCACCCGTTCCATGCTTTCCATCTCCACGCTTCCATCTGGGATTATTTCCTTTAATTTCCCACCCGTTCCATGCTTTCCACCTCCACGCTTCCATCTGGGATTATTTCCTTTAATTTCCCGCCCGTTCCATGCTTTCCATCTCCACGCTTCCATCTGGGATTATTTCCTTTAATTTCCCGCCCGTTCCATGCTTTCCACCTCCACGCTTCCATCTGGGATTATTTCCTTTAATTTCCCGCCCGTTCCATGCTTTCCATCTCCACGCTTCCATCTGGGATTATTTCCTTTAATTTCCCGCCCGTTCCATGCTTTCCACCTCCACGCTTCCATCTGGGATTATTTCCTTTAATTTCCCGCCCGTTCCATGCTTTCCATCTCCACGCTTCCATCTGGGATTATTTCCTTTAATTTCCCGCCCGTTCCATGCTTTCCACCTCCACGCTTCCATCTGGGATTATTTCCTTTAATTTCCCACCCGTTCCATGCTTTCCATCTCCACGCTTCCATCTGGGATTATTTCCTTTAATTTCCCACCCGTTCCATGCTTTCCACCTCCACGCTTCCATCTGGGATTATTTCCTTTAATTTCCCGCCCGTTCCATGCTTTCCATCTCCACGCTTCCATCTGGGATTATTTCCTTTAATTTCCCGCCCGTTCCATGCTTTCCACCTCCACGCTTCCATCTGGGATTATTTCCTTTAATTTCCCGCCCGTTCCATGCTTTCCATCTCCACGCTTCCATCTGGGATTATTTCCTTTAATTTCCCGCCCGTTCCATGCTTTCCATCTCCACGCTTCCATCTGGGATTATTTCCTTTAATTTCCCGCCCGTTCCATGCTTTCCATCTCCACGCTTCCATCTGGGATTATTTCCTTTAATTTCCCACCCGTTCCATGCTTTCCACCTCCACGCTTCCATCTGGGATTATTTCCTTTAATTTCCCGCCCGTTCCATGCTTTCCACCTCCACGCTTCCATCTGGGATTATTTCCTTTAATTTCCCGCCCGTTCCATGCTTTCCATCTCCACGCTTCCATCTGGGATTATTTCCTTTAATTTCCCGCCCGTTCCATGCTTTCCACCTCCACGCTTCCATCTGGGATTATTTCCTTTAATTTCCCGCCCGTTCCATGCTTTCCACCTCCACGCTTCCATCTGGGATTATTTCCTTTAATTTCCCGCCCGTTCCATGCTTTTCCACCTCCACGCTTCCATCTGGGATTATTTCCTTTAATTTCCCGCCCGTTCCATGCTTTCCACCTCCACGCTTCCATCTGGGATTATTTCCTTTAATTTCCCGCCCGTTCCATGCTTTCCACCTCCACGCTTCCTTCTGGGGATTATTTCCTTTGGCATTTCCTTAACACAGGGCCTTCTGGTAGGGAAACCCCATTAGAACAATACAGTCTTCTTGAGGGCAAACAAAATACGGTTTCAACTCTGTGAAGTTCACTGCACTACTGAAGAAACTCCACAGACAGACATAACCACGAGACACAACACACTGGCGTTACCTACACATCTCCCGCTGTCCTGCCCATTCCATTCTTTCCACCTCCACGCTTCCATCTGGGATTATTTCCTTTAATTTCCCACCCGTTCCATGCTTTCCACCTCCACGCTTCCATCTGGGATTATTTCCTTTAATTTCCCGCCCGTTCCATGCTTTCCACCTCCACGCTTCCATCTGGGATTATTTCCTTTAATTTCCCGCCCGTTCCATGCTTTCCACCTCCACGCTTCCTCTCTGGGATTATTTCCTTTAATTTCCCGCCCGTTCCATGCTTTCCACCTCCACGCTTCCATCTGGGATTATTTCCTTCATTCCCGCCCGTTCCATGCTTTCCACCTCCACGCTTCCATCGGGGATTATTTCCTTTAATTTCCCGCCCGTTCCATGCTTTCCACCTCCACGCTTCCATCTGGGATTATTTCCTTTAATTTCCCGCCCGTTCCATGCTTTCCACCTCCACGCTTCCATCTGGGATTATTTCCTTTAATTTCCCGCCCGTTCCATGCTTTCCACCTCCACGCTTCCATCTGGGATTATTTCCTTTAATTTCCCACCCGTTCCATGCTTTCCACCTCCACGCTTCCATCTGGGATTATTTCCTTTAATTTCCCGCCCGTTCCATGCTTTCCACCTCCACGCTTCCATCTGGGATTATTTCCTTTAATTTCCCGCCCGTTCCATGCTTTCCACCTCCACGCTTCCATCTGGGATTATTTCCTTTAATTTCCCGCCCGTTCCATGCTTTCCACCTCCACGCTTCCATCTGGGATTATTTCCTTTAATTTCCCGCCCGTTCCATGCTTTCCACCTCCACGCTTCCATCTGGGATTATTTCCTTTAATTTCCCGCCCGTTCCATGCTTTCCACCTCCACGCTTCCATCTGGGATTATTTCCTTTAATTTCCCGCCCGTTCCATGCTTTCCACCTCCACGCTTCCATCTGGGATTATTTCCTTTAATTTCCCGCCCGTTCCATGCTTTCCACCTCCACGCTTCCATCTGGGATTATTTCCTTTAATTTCCCGCCCGTTCCATGCTTTCCACCTCCACGCTTCCATCTGGGATTATTTCCTTTGGCATTTCCTTTAACACAGGCCTTCTGGTAGGAAATTCTTTCCATTTCTGTCTTCGGCAGGTATTTTTTAGCTTCATTTTTGTTGTTGTTGTTGTTGTTGTTCACAACATTTTATTAAAAAAAAATAGGAAAAGTGAGACTGTGGCATTGACCATGTAGCAGGGTGGTAGCACTCCAGCCCATGCTCTGGCCAAACCGACTTCAGCCTTACATGCAGGCTGCCTACCAATTCAGGAACAGGGCCCCAAATTAATTCCCTTTGAGGCCAACCAGATTCCCCTAACACCCCATCAAGCTTTTCCTGCCCTGTTCATCTGCAGGTGAACCCCAGATCCTGCCCACCCCAGAATATGCCAATTTTTATTATCTAAAATGGAGCCTACAGACTGGTGCCCCGCAGAGAAGCCCCAGAACTCCAGGTCAGAGCTGAAGCTGCAGTCAGACCCACAGGCTCCCTTGAAGCAGGATGGTTCGTGATGCCCCACTCAAACAGGGTAGCTTCATTCTTGAAAGGTATTTTTGTTGGATATCGATTCTTTCCCTGGTTGTAACCTTCCCAACATTTTGAGGTTGTGTAGAGCACCCCCATGTCAAGACACCCAGCGGCAAGTCTGGAAGAGGACTGGCTCACTGACAGTTCACTCTGCCCTACGGGTATTCCCTCTGGTGAGGCCTTCAGTTCACAGTGGAAGGGGGTCTCCAGTCTTTGACTATCATCCCTCTAGACAAGGCTCCTCAGCCCTGGCACCACTGACATCCTGGCTGACGCCTCTGTTGTGGGGGCCACTCTATGCACGTCGGTTGTTTAACAGCCTCCCACCTCCACCCACGAGTGGACCCGCACTCCTAGGGGCCAGGTGCAGTGGCTCATGCCTATAATCCCAGCACTTTGGGAGGTCAAGGCAGACCGATCGCTTGAGCGCATAAGTTTGAAACCAGCCTAGGTAACATGGCAAGACCCCATCTCTACAAAACTTTTTTTAAATGTTAGCCAGGCGTGGTGGTGCGCGCCTGTGGTCCCAGTTACTTGGGAGGCCAAGGTGGAAGGATGGCTTGAGCCCGGGGGGTTGAGGCTGCGGTGAGCTGTGATTGCACTGGGCAGCCTGGTCAACAGAGCAAGATCTTGTCTCAGTAAATCAATAGATCAATCAATTGATCAACTGTTTTCAACAGAAGGGTTGCTCTAAATCAGCAGTGCTCACACAGCAGCCTCATGCCACATGCGGTCAGTGAGCAAGTGAAACAGCCAGTACAAAGTGAGACTCACTCTTAAGTGTGACACACACACCAGACTTCAAAGACCTGGTATAAAATAACTCGGTACCTTGTTTTTTTTTTAGTTTTTTTTTCTGAGACAGAGTCTCACTCTGTCGCCCAGGCTGTAGTGCACTGGCACGATCTCGGCTCACAGCAACCTCTGCCTCCTAGGTTCAAGCGATTCTCCTGCCTCAGCCTCCCGAGTAGCTGGGATTACAGGTGCCCGCCACCATGCCCAGCTAATTCTTGTATTTTTAATAGACACGGGGTTTCACCATGTTGGTCAGGCTGGTCTCAAACTCCTGACCTCAACTGATCCAGCCACCTCGGCCTCCCAAAGGGCTGGAATTACAGGCATGAGCCATCGTGCCAGCCAGTTTTTTTTTCAATTGATTACAACGAAATTTTAGATATACTGAACTAAATAAAATATATTATTAATTTCATTTGCTCCTTTTTACTTTTTTTCAATGAGGCTGCCAGAGCCTTTAGACCTATGAATGTGACTGATACTCTATTTCTAAATTGGACAGCACAGCTCTAAGTCATCTCATCTACCCACAGCTGGCAGGGCAGGCCTCAGGCAGCACATTTCTTACGGACAAGGAGTAGATTTTCTTCTATGTCTGCTGCCACCACCCAGGGTACGCGCGTGCTCAACAAAAGCCAACAGATCACTGTGTAGGAGGGGCCACCTTCCCTATCTAGGACAGCCAGACAGGCATGAAGTCTCCTTTAGTCCCAAAACATTTATACAGAATTTATAAAACAAAAATTTTTTTTTTTTGAGACAGAGTCTTGCTGTGTCTCCCAGGCTGGAGTGCAATGGCGAGATCTCAGCTCACTGCAACCTCCGCCTTCCCAGTTCAAGCGATTCTCCTGACTCAGCCTCCCAAGTAGCTGGGACTATAGGCACGCGCCACCACACCCAGCTAATTTTTCTATTTTTAGTAAAGATGGGGTTTCACCATGTTGGCCAGGCTGGTCTCGAACTCCCGACCTCAATCGATCCGCCCGCCTCAGCCTCCCACAGTGCTGGGTTACAGGCGTGAGCCACCACGCCTGGCCAGAGAGTTTGTAAATTTAACAGCCTAGCAAAGTCTTTGAAGTTACACCTCAACACATTAGATGATTCTTCTGAAACCTATAAAAACCTCCCATTCGAATTTCATCTTCACCATTCTGAAGGCCATTAACTCTTTTCACAATAACAAAATGGATTCACACTGGCTGGGTGCTGGTTTCCTTTCAAGCAATTTCTATGCATTTCCTCATTTCCTCACAATGAGCACAGCAGACGCAGATCCCATTCAGTGAAGGCCCAGTGACGCCAAGAGTAAGGCTGGCTTTGTCATGGTCCGGCTCCCCCAGGTTGAGAGCCACGGCTGAGCAAGAGGGTGCCAGGGCGCAGCCCTTTCAACCCAGTGCCACCACCTCCAGCCGGCAATCTGGGCTCCCGAGCTCCCTGATGGGCAGGTGGCGGCGACTGTCAGACCCACATCTCCATCTGCTTCTGCCCTTTACTTTTCACTAGTGGTGGCGACTGTCAGACCCACATCTCCATCTGCTTCTGCCCTTTACTTTTCACTGGTGGCGGCGACTCTGTCAGACCCACATCTCCATCTGCTTCTGCCCTTTACTTTTCACTGGTGGCGGCGACTCTGTCAGACCCACATCTCCATCTGCTTCCGCCCTTTACTTTTCACTCGTGGCGGCGACTCTGTCAGACCCACATCTCCATCTGCTTCCGCCCTTTACTTTTCACTGGTGGCGGCGACTGTCAGACCCACATCTCCATCTGCTTCTGCCCTTTACTTTTCACTGGTGGCGGCGACTGTCAGACCCACATCTCCATCTGCTTCTGCCCTTTACTTTTCACTGGTGGCAACTCTGTCAGACCCACATCTCCATCTGCTTCTGCCCTTTACTTTTCACTGGTGGTGGCGACTGTCAGACCCACATCTCCATCTGCTTCTGCCATTTACTTTTCACTGGTGGTGGCGACTCTGTCAGACCCACATCTCCATCTGCTTCTGCCCTTTACTTTTCACTAGTGGTGGCGACTGTCAGACCCACATCTCCCATCTGCTTCTGCCCTTTACTTTTCACTGGTGGTGGCGAATCTGTCAGACCCACATCTCCATCTGCTTCTGCCCTTTACTTTTCACTGGTGGCGGCGACTGTCAGACCCACATCATCTGCTTCTGCCCTTTACTTTTCACTGGTGGCGGCGACTGTCAGACCCACATCATCTGCTTCTGCCCTTTACTTTTCACTGGTGGTGGTGACTGTCAGACCCACATCTCCATCTGCTTCTGCCCTTTACTTTTCACTGGTGGCGGCGGCTGTCAGACCCACATCTCCATCTGCTTCTGCCCTTTACTTTTCACTGGTGGTGGTGACTGTCAGACCCACATCTCCATCTGCTTCTGCCCTTTACTTTTCACTGGTGGCGGCGGCTGTCAGACCCACATCTCCATCTGCTTCTGCCCTTTACTTTTCACTGGTGGTGGTGACTGTCAGACCCACATCTCCATCTGCTTCTGCCCTTTACTTTTCACTGGTGTCACTCTGAATAAATCTTCTGTACACAGCCCATTTCAGAGTCCACATCCTGGAGAACCCAACTTGAGATCACTGGTTTCCCCATTCTACAGTTAAGAACAAAGGTGCACACCGGGCGCAGAGGCTCACGCCTGTAATTCCAGCACTCTGGGAGGCCAAAGCAGGTGGATCACCTGAGGTTGGGAGTTCGAGACCAGCCTGACCAACATGGAGAAACCCCCGTCTCTACTAAAAATACAAAAACCAGCCGTGTGGGGTGCAGTGGCTCACGCCTGTAATCCCAGCATGTTGGGAGGCTGAGGCAGGTGGATCACTTGAGGTCGGGAGCTCAAGACCAGCCTGACCAACATGGAGAAACCCCATCTCTACTAGAAGTACAAAAATCAGCCAGGCCAGGCACAGTGGCTCACGCCTGTAATCCCAGCACTTTGGGAGGCTGAGGCAGGTGGATCACTTGAGGTCGGGAGTTCGAGACCGGCCTGACCAACATGGAGAAACCCCGTCTCTACTAAAAGTACAAAAATCAGCTGGGCCGGGCACAGTGGCTCATGCCTGTAATCCCAGCACTTTGGGAGGCCGAGGCGGGCAGATCACTTGAGGCCAGGAGTTTGAGACCAGCCTGGCCAACATGGAGAAATCTCGTCTCTACTAAATAAAATTACAGGCATGTGGTGGCACACGCCTGTAATCCCAGCTACTCGGGAGGCTGAGGCAGGAGAACCGCTTGAACCTGGAAGGCGGAGGTTGCGGTGAGCCAAGATCGTGCCACTGCACTCCACACTGAGCGACAGAGCAAGACTCCATCTCAAAAAAAAAAAAAGAAAAGAAAAGAAACTACTGGATATCCATTCTCAAGCCCTCAAAAGCACCCATCCCATGAAACTCCAGTTGTCCCCAAGCTGTGTTCTGCCTGTCCCTCCAGTTCCACAGGGGTCAGGCTCAGCCCTCTCCCCGACTCATTGTGCCTGGGCAATTTCAGCTACACCGTGGCTAAGGTATGCTCAGGGAGGTGAGCCAGGTTGCAAATCTGTAAACATTAACTGAAAAATTAAGGCTTTAAGGATTAACTGGGGTTTCAAAAATGTCCCAAGGGCTGAAAACTAAATCCGTACTTCACAATTCTTCAAAGTAAGGATGTTCAGGGAAGGCACTCAGCCCACACACTGGCTCACAGAGAGGCAGTCCACCGAGCGCAGGTCAGGTCCCTGTTGACCGTCAGCAGGAGGCGTTCGGTGGCGCCTTACACAGAGCACTTCCCGTACTTGGTGTCTGTCCTCTGAACCCCCAGCACGCTGGCCTGGTGGCTAATACTGCGACATGCAGCTGGGCACTAGACCAGTGCTGTTCCAGCTCCAGGAAAAGACCAGACACCAGGAGGGGCTGCCCCACCTAACCAGCTCCACACATGCCATTTCCTAATTCTGACAGGGCCCTGATAGAAACTGTACAAACTGAGAACTTCACTTTAGTGTGGGAGAAAAGAAGACAGTATTAAAAGACTGGGTTCTTACTACAGAAAATTTACAACAGGACATTTCATGGAAAAGGTTAAACATACTTACCTTTAAATTTTGATCTGATATTTGCCAGTTCCTTGTTTATCCTTTTTATTTCTGCTTCTTTACTTTTACCTAAAAAAAAGAACAAAAAGCCATTTTTATTTTAATTGATTTCTAAAGAAACACCATTTCCCTGATAAGACTGACACTCAGAACTCACGAATGGGATGAGGCCCCGTTTCAAGGCAGGAGAAAAGCCGAAGCAGACACCTGCCTCCAACCCAGAGCCGGCAGGAAGGGGCTGCAGCAGGGCCGGGGCCGGGACTGAGCCTAGGGGAAAGGGAGTGCCTGGGTCAGGACAGCAAAGGAGCGAGTCCTGAACCGCCCGGGCCAGCCGCTGCGCACCCAGGGGGTGCTCCACAGCACCATTTCTAACTCTACCTCTTTACCAAGCTCAGAACTCAAATATCTTGCTGGATGTTTGCCATGATAAATCGTCATCCGCTAATAACACGGAGGTTTACTCCTAAAATCAACTTCCACTGCCAAAAGCACACAGTTTTACTACTATAGGCTTTCAATTTTCTTTTATAAATTCACCTCCACAGTTTCTTCCTCGATCAACTGCAGTCGCAAAACAGATGCAGCCTCTGCAACACGCATCCTTCAAGACTCAGCTCAGATGTGCCCGTTGAAATCAGCCTGCCTCCCCTGCCGTATGGACTGAATGTTTCTGTCCCCTCAAAATTCGCATGCTGAAGCCCTAACCCCAATGTCATAGTATCTGAAGATGGAACCTTTGGAAGGTGGCTGGGTTTAGATGGGGTCATGAGGTGGGCCCTCATGATGGGATTAGCACTCCTACAAGAGAAGTCCTCAGCAAATATGGTTAGGTACTAATATCATTAATAATATTAGGAGTGCTCCCACCAACAGCCCCAAAGGCTAGCTTCTGTCCAAAGCAGGAAAGACTGATCTATTCAGTCTATCTGTTGATAGACATTACAACCTATCTGTTGTCAAATCTAGTCATTTAAAATAGTCTTTCTTTTTGGCTTATCCATCCCCAATGGCAATCAAAATACCTGAACTGACACATTTCAATTTCATGTGTCTCATTTGAAAGCAATGCCCAGGATCTGTAATTCCTCATGGTCATAAAATGATGGAATGTCAGGGCTACAGGTCCCTTAGTCTGCTCCGGCTGCCATGACAAAACACCCCAGACGGGGCGGCTGAAACACTTCATCTTCTCACAGGCCTGCAGGCTGGAAGCCTGTGAGCAACACACCAGCAGGGTGGTTTCTGGTGAGGGCTCTCTTCCTGGCTTGCAGACAGCCACCTTCTGTGTGCTCACGTGGCCTTTCTTTGACGCATGCTTATGAAGCGAGCACGCTCTCTCTTCCTCTTACAAGGCCACCAATCCTACAGGATTAGGACCCCACCTCTATGACTTCATTTAACCTTAAATGCCTCCTGAAAGCCCTGTCTCCAAATCCAGTCACACTGGGGTTGGGGCTTCAGCATATGAACTGGGGTGGAGCCACGGAGGCAACTCGGTCCACAGCTAGAGGGAACCTTAAAGACGGACTGATGCATTTGTTCCGTAAATATCCACTGAGCACCTACAACTGTCCACACATGGTGCTGGGCACCAAGGCACAAGGATGAGCAAAAACAGACATGGTCTCTGTTACCCTCACGGAAGACACAGTCTGGCAGAAGACTGTTACTGACCAAGCAGTCGCACACCTATTTAATCACCATGTGCTGTGTAAGGAAAGCAGATGAAGCTAGGAGGGATTACGATACAGGGAGCAGGTCTGTGCTGCAGGGCAAACAGTTGTTGGTAGGAACATGAGGGCTTTCCTACAAAATCTGACAAGTCCACTTGCATAATATCCAATTGTGATATTATACATACATACTGGTTTTCATCTACAGTTCCTGGCTCAAAACTCTCACAGCTCTTGTTATTTTTTCCCCAAGGCAGGCCATAAGACTAACAAGGGACTCTAACCACCCCCAGCCTTTCTGTCGTGGAGCTGGCCATAAATTCTCTGACCTACCTTGTCTGACTGTGGGTCACAAGACCCACATTTCTGAAGGGGCCCTGCCCCACACCCCGGGGGAAGGAACGCCGCACAGATAGGCCGGGAAGAATCTGCACAGACAGGCCCTGCTGGGTTTAGATCACACCCTTTTGGTCCAGTCCCATTTGTACACAGCTGTCAATCATGCCTATCCAATGAAGTCTGCACAAAAGGCCCAGGAGGACAGGGTTTGGGGAACGTCCAGATAACTGAACACATGGGGATCCCTGGAGGGACATGGAGCGGCCATGGCCCGGTACCATGCCCTACGCATCACGTCACCTGCACCCTTCATACTAGCTTTTATGATCAAATAAATGTGTTTCCCTGAGTTCTGTGAGCCTCTCTAGCAAACTAATTGAATCCAAAGAGGGGGTCGTGAGATGTCCATTCACAGTCTGTCATGCACAAGCACAGGTCACAACCTGAGGCTTGAGGCTAACATGAGAAGTAGGGGGTAGCCCTGGGACTCCCCTGCAGGATCTGACACTACCTCCAGGTAGACGGTGTCAGAATCAAGCTGGAGGACACCCCGCTGGTGCCTGCTGCAGAACTGATAGCTTGTTTGCCGATGGGGAGAAACCCCCACATATTCTGGGGTCACAGAAGTCTTCTGTGTTGTAGTGGGACAGCAGAGGAATGTTAGCTTCAAGTCTTTTTTTCAGCTCACACCCATGAAATGTGGGAATTCTCCATTGTACAAAAGAGGGAAAACGCACATTAGATGTGTGACAATCAAACTTTCAGTACACGCTAAATCTATTGCTAAAGGGACCTCGCTCAACAAACACTTGCATGTAT
The DNA here is from genome assembly GCF_000001405.40 of Homo sapiens. NCBI lineage: Eukaryota > Metazoa > Chordata > Mammalia > Primates > Hominidae > Homo > Homo sapiens. Next base: position 19,417 of record NT_187681.1, on the reverse strand, counting down.
GTCACAAGCCAGGCAAGGGAGAGAGATGAGACCACGTGTAGTTTAACTCTACCTGGACCAGCTGTGAAAACTGAGGCTTAAAGAGTACAAGTGATTTTAATAGGGATACACATGTTTAACAAGCACTGTCAAAATACAATTATTCATCACACAGGGTAAGGTGAGTTGTGTGCAAAAACAACTTTGTGTACATTTAAGTCACTTTTTATTCTATTTTTTAAAAAATTAAAAATATGGCCAGGCATGGTGGTGCCTCATCAGAGGCAGGTGGGTCGCCTGAGGTCAGGAGTTGGAGACCAGCCTAGCCAACGTGGCGAAACCCCGTCTCTACTAAAAATACAAAAATTAGCCAGGCGTGGTGGCGCATGCCTGTAATCCCAGCTACTTGGGAGGCTGAGACAGACGAATCACTTGAACCCAGGAGGCAGAGGCTGCAGTGAGGCGAGATGACAGAGCAAGATTCCATCCCCAGAAAGAAAAAAAAAGAAAAAAGAAAAAATAGAGACAAGTTCTCACTACGGTATTTGGGCTGGTCTCGATCTCCTGAGCTCAAGCAATCCTCTCACCTTGGCCTCCTAAAGTGCTGGGATTACAGGTGTGAGCCACTGCACCTGGCCCTAAGTCACTTTTTTAAAGCAATAATAAAGCTGACTATTTAAAAAACCTTCTCAAGTGAGTCTTTGGTTTAAGGATCTCCAGCTGAAGTAAAAGGCCTCTGCAGCAACCCATCCACATCAGAACACGACACAAGCGGCCCCGCCAGGCCTGGTGTGCACAGATCAGAGGACAAAGAGCTCACCCCTGCCCTACGCAGTCACAGGGCCGAACTCCACCACTGCTGCTTCCAAAACTGATCTTGCCTCCCCCACAGGACAAGCTCCCTCCTCCAGAATATCTTTTGTCTTTTACTACACATTTGCTAATAAATAAGGTTGAATGTTTCCTGAACCGAACAAACACTCCTTTGAGCCAGTCCTACCCTAGAAAACTTCAGATGGACAGGTGGTCAGAACAGGAAAATCAAGTGCCTATGTGGCGGCTCCCCGACCCAAGCACTGTCCCAGGTGCTGGGAACACAACAGCTTCTGCCCTCAGGGGACCTTTAACAAAACACAGACACACCCAAACCTCCTGTCCCAGTCAGTCTCTCTTCCCAGCCCTGAAAGCTGCTCACAGCAGTGACCCCTGGGCAGGCTGCCCAGCGTCTCAGCATCCCCACTCCTCTCTGTATGATGGCTGACCAGCGGACGGCTCCACAAGAAAGCAGGACAGCAGGTACAGGAGGATGCTGGCAGCCTGATGCCCCCCAGGATGGCAGGTTTTTTGGACTTGGCTGAAAGAGTCACGAAAACAGTGTCTTGGGAGCTTCTGCCACACAAAGCCTGCAGGCAGCTTCACACAGCTGGGACTGCGCATGGGTGAGGCACTCTGCACTGGGTGCGGTGTGCCAGTGTGCGTGTGCCTATGTGTGCATGCCACTGTGTGTGTACATGTGTGCTTCTCACAAAGGTGTACACAGATCTGTGCTATTAAGTCTGCAACAGGGGACCTTGCGCTCTCTCCCTGGTTTGTGCCCTCTACTTTACCCACCCAAACACCAGGGAAAGAAACCACTCTGAGGGGGAACTTATGTTGTCCAGAATCAACAGAGCTCAGATCTAAAGCAGAAATACTAAAAACCTGGGGGCAGGAGAAAGAGGAAATACTACTACATGAGCTAAATCAACTTTCCTAAACGGAATCTACAGATTTTATATAAGGTTGTGAAACCACAAACTAAAACAAACAGCACATAATGTAGAGTTATAGAGGTAACCACCAGGAGAAACAGGCAGTTAACCCCCCTCCTCTGTGGGACAGAAACAGAGACAAGTTCCAGCTTCCCATCCACAGCTTGCTTTTAATTGCCCAATTTTCAACACACACACACACAAATACACACACACACACACCAAATACACACATGCACACATTTACAAACACACATGAATACACATTTATACAAACACAAATACACATATATACACACAAATACACGTACAAGCACACATAAACCAAATACACACAAATACACAAATGTACACGCCACACACAAATATACATATACACACATTTACAAACACACATAAATACAAATACACAGATACACAGAAATACACACGTACACAAACACAAATACAACATATATACACAAATATAAACACAAATACAACATATATACACATATACATACATACACATAAACACAAATACATACACACACACAAATACACACATGTACACACACATGCATAAATACAAATATACGCATACACACACACTTTAAAACGAGGGCAGGCCAGCCCCTGAGGAGGGGGAGAAGCATGGAAGGTGATGACAAGAGTGAACTTTGGGGCCAGCACGTGAGGTGGGAATCCAAGTGAGGTGGGAATCCAAGTGCAGCCTTTGACTCATTCTGCTGTGCCTCTGAGCTCCAGCTCCCTCAAAAGGAAAGCCACCAACGGCCGTACAACCTCACGGCATCATGTCTGTGCAAGAGAAGGTAGAGAGGCCAGGCACAGTGACTCACGTCTGCACTTTGGGAGGCTGAGGCGGGCGGATCACCTGAGGTCAGGAGTTCAAGACCAGCCTGGCCAGCATGGTGAAACCTCGTCTCTACTAAAAATACAAAAATTAGCCAGGCATGGTGGCAGGCGCCTGCAATCCCAGCTACTCAGGAAGTTGAGGCAGAAGAATCGCTTGAACCCAGGAGGCGGAGGTTGCAGTGAGCCGAGATCGCGCCATTGCACTACAGCCTGGGCAACAGAGCAAGACTCCATCTCAAAAAAAAAAAAAAAGAGAGAAGGTAGAGAGAAGAGTAGTGTCACGTCTCGGCCAGACCTGAGGACAGGAGAGCCTAAGCAGCCCCAGTATCCACAGAGGGCTGAGCATGATGCAAGAACCAGGGATGGAGTGACCTGGCCCAGCGCCCCTACTGAGCAGAGACGACGCAAAAGCAGGAAAAAGGGGAGGTGCAGGGACAGCAGGCAGACGGAGGCAGACGGAGGCAGACGGAGCCAGGACGGAGCCAGGGACTTCCAACTGCAGCTGCCAGGCAGGCCACTGTGTGAAGACAATGGGGGGGGGGGGCTCTTACGGTAGAAAAGCCACCCAGACCATGCCTCCTCTGACAGTTCAGGAAAACTAATTTCACATAAAAATACGCATTCAGGCTAGGCGCAGTGGCTCACGCCTATAATCCCAGCACTTTGGGAGACTGAGGCAGGTGGATCACTTGAAGTCAGGAGTTTGAGACCAGCCTGGGCAACATGGTGAAATCCTGTCTCTAGTAAAAACACAAAAATTAGCTGGGCATGGTGGCGTGCGCCTGTAATCCCAGCTACTGGGGAAGCTGAAGTGGAAGAATTGCCTGAACCCGAGAGGCAGAGGTTGCAGTGAGCCGAGATCACACCACTGCACTCCAGACTGGGCGACTGGGTGACAGAGAGAGAGGCTGTCTCAAAAACAAGAAAGACAATCCAGCACGACCATGGCTGAGATGACGGATGATGACCTGCAGGCAAGACTGACACATTCAAGTCAACTACCATGTCCCAAATTTACCAAAAACGCTCTAGTAGAAGCTGCATGATCAACGCAGCACCCCTGCAGTCATGACGGACGCAGGTAACAATCTGAGCCCTCCAGTGCCTGTCAGGGGCTCTCCTGTAAAGGAGCAGAGCGTGCTCCTGGCCAGGCACCAATTCGTGCCACTGACACTGCACTGATCTCCATAAGGCAGAGGGCCTCACAGGAGGACTTCAACCACCCCACCGTGCCGGGAACAGATCTAGCAAAAAAATCTTATCTTTTTAGATAAATTAGCTTGAGGAGAAGCGGGGAGGAGCTGAATTCTGAAAGGGTAAAGCATGAGCAAGAGTAACTGACCCACAGCAACAAGCCCAGCCACACAGAGTCTGATCTTTGTTAAAGAGTAACTGACCCACAGCAACAAGCCCAGCCCCACACACAGTCTGATCTTTGTTAAAGAGACGCTGGCCACAGTCATCCTGCACTATTCCTGTCTGAAATGCAGCCAGCCCATCAGCACTAAGGGTACTGTACTTGCATCAGGGAATTCTCGCAGTGAACTTAGGAGCTCTGGTGGCTAATGAGTAACCTGGACATGCCATAGCTACTGGCAAAAGCAAGTTACAATTTGCATTCCATGAAGTAGCAAAGAACACACTCTATAGGGGCAGGCTTGGATAAAAGCTCTTGAATTTTTACAATTATTGTCCCTGGTCATTCTTCAGGAACAGCATGCTGGTTAATGATTTCTTGTTTACAGGCTGAACTAATCAACAGAGAGGATTAGTATTCTGGGAACAGCCCAAGTTCCACAAAAAATAGTAAAGGAGCCTATGACAGATGATTATAAAATACCAAAGTACCAAAATCTTCTGTCCTTGCAATGTGCAGCAAAACTTGGTCTACAGAGTTTTAGTCTGTATATAAAGTGATTTCAGACTGGGCAGTGGCTCACGCCTATAATCCCAGCACCTTGGGAGGCTGAAGTGGGAGGGCTGTTTTGAGTCCAGGAGCTCGAGACCAGCCTAGGCAACATAGGGAGACCTGGTCTCCATAAATAATTTTTTAAAAAATTAGGTGTGGTGGTGCATGCCTGTGGTCCCAGCTACTAGGGAGGCTGAGGTGGGGGGAATCACCTGAGCCCAGGAAGTCAACACTCCAGTGAGCCAGGACAGACATCGCTGTACTCCAGCCTAGGCAACAAGGTGAGACTCTGTCTCAAAGAAATAAAGTGATTCCGCCGAGTAACCCAAAAGCCCAAAATTGACCAAGCCCAAGAATTTTTGAAGGAAGCTATAATTGCTAAAATTACTATTAAGGTGGTTAGCACAGCAGTCAGCCAAGCAAACTCTGAAATCAGGCCTGGACTGGAATGTCACTCCATGTTTTACTAGCTACGTGACCCTGGGCTATCAACTTAACCGCAACCTGCCTCGGTTTCTCTTCTTCAAATGGGTGTGCCATCAATGAAAGAGCTGTGATGAGAAGTGTGAAATAAGGAGCAAAGCACTGGTCCAGCCACGAGAAGCTACTGTGCCCATCACCAGGGATAAACTCACACGTTCTTTTTTTTTTTTTGAGACGGAGTCTCGCCCTGTCACCCAGGCTGGAGTGTGGTGGCACGATCTCGGCTCACTGCAACCTCCACCTCCCAGGTTCAAGCAATTCTCCTGCCTCAGCCTCCCAAGTAGCTGGAATTACAGGCGCCTGCCACTACGCCCAGCTAATTTTTGTATTTTTAGTAGAGGTGGGGTTTCACCATATTGGTCAGGCTGGTCTCAAACTCCTGACCTCAGGTGATCCACCCACCTCGGCCTCCCAAAGTGCTGGAATTACAGCTGGGAGTGCCTGGCCTCATCTTTTTTATTACAGCCATCTGGGTAAGTGTGATGCAGTATCTCATTGTGATTTTGATATGCATTTTTCTGATAGCTTTTATATGCTTATTGAACATTCGTAAATCTATTTGGAAGAAATATATATTTTAATACTTCATCAATTTTTTTTTTTTTTGAGATGCAGTCTCACTCTGTCACCCAGGCTGGAGTACAGTGACATGACCTCGGCTCACTGCAACATCCGCTTCCCAGGTTCAAGTGATTCTTGTGCCTCAGCCTCCCAAGAAGCTGGGATTACAGGTGCACACCACCACACCCAGTTAATTTTTGTATTTTAGTACAGACGGGGTTTCACCATGTTGGCTAGGCTGGTCTTGAACTCCTGACCTCGGGTGATCCACCTACCTCAGCCTCCCAAAATGCTGGGATTACAGGTATGGCCACCACACCCGCAGCCCCTAACACTTCATCAATTTTTTAATTTAGTTGTCTTCATGAAGTTTTTTATATATTCTAAATAACGAGCCCTTTATCAGGTACACGGTTTTCAAATATTTTCTCTCATTCTCAGGTTGCCATTTCACCTTCTAAATAGTATTTTGTAGCACACGTTATGAAGTCCAGATTAACTTTTTTTTTGTCATTTGCACATTTGTTGTCACCTAGGAAATCATATTCCAGACCGGGCACAGTGGCTCACACCTGTAATCCCAGCACTTTGGGAAGCCGAGGCAAGCGAATGGCGTTTGGCCAACACGGCAAAACCCTATCTCTACAAAAAAACACAAAAATTAGCTGGGCATGGTGGTGCAGGCCTGTGGCCCCAGCTACTCAGGAGGCTGAGGCAGAAGAATCTCTTGAACCTGGGAGGTGGAGATTGCAGTGAAACAAGATCACGCCACTGCACTCCAGCCTGGTGACAGAGCGAAACTCTGTCAAAAAAAAAAAAAAAAAACCATATTCCAAAGTCACAGAAACTTACTCCTGTTTTTTTGGTAGGAGTCTCATAGTTTTAGCTCTTACAGTTGGGTTTATGATCCATGGAGTTATTTCTTGTGCATAGTGTAAGGTAGGAGTCCATTTACATACTTTTACATGGAGATTCAGTCATCCCAGCACCATTTGTTTAAGACTATTCTTTTCCCCCACCATTGAATTATCTTGGCACTCCTGCTGAAAATCAATTCACCACAAATGTAAAGGTTTACTTCTGTACTCTCAATATTATTATCTCAGTATCTACGTATCTGTCCTTATACCAGTATTATACTATCTTAATCATTTGTGTATTAAGTTTTGGAATCAGCATGTGAATCCTCCAATCCTGTTCTTTTTTGCATCTATGGAGATGACCAGGCATTTTTTCATCCTTTATGGTATTAATATGAAGTATTACATGGATTGATTTTCAGATGTTAAGCCAACCTTGCATTCCTGGGACAATTCTCACTCGAATCTGGTGTATAAACCTGTTTTTTTTTTTTTCTTTTTTGAGACAGAGTCTCTCTCTGTCACCCAGGCTGGAGTGCAGTGGCGTGATCTCGGCTCACTGCCAACACCGCCTCCCGGGTTCTAGCACTTCTCCTGCCTCAGCCTCCTGAGTAGCTGGGACTATAGGCACATGCCACCACACCCAGCTAATTTTTGTATTTTTAGTAGAGATGGGGTTTCACCATGTTGGCCAGGCTGGTCTCCATCTCCTGACTTCGTGATCCACCCGCCTCGGCCTCCGAAAGTGCTGGGATTACAGGTGTGAGCCACCACTCCCGGCCTGTATAATCCTTTTTATACGTTGTTGCTGGATTCAACTGGCTAGCATTTGGTTGAAGATTCTTGTTTCTATATTCATGATAATGGCCTGTAATTTTCCTTTCTTGTCATGTCTTTGTCTAGTTTTGGTATCAGCATAATACTGGCCTTATAGAATGAGTTAAGTATGCCCTCCTACTTTTCCAAAGAGTTTGTAAAGGACTGGTATTAATTCTTTTCTTGAGACAGAGTCTCTCTCTGTCGCCCAGGCTGGAGTGCAGTGACATGATCTCGGCTCACTGCAACCTCCGCCTCTCGGTTTCAAGCGATTCTCCTGCCTCAGCCTCCCAAGTGGCTGGGACTAAAGGTGCGTGCCACCACACTCATCCAATTTTTGCATTTTTAGTAGAGATGTTGGCCAGGCTGGTCTTGAACTCCTGACCTCAAATGATCACCCACCTCAGCCTCCCAAAGTGCTGGGATTACAGGCATGAGCCACTGCACCCGGCCAGGACTGGTATTAATTCTTTAAGTGTTTGGTAGAACTCAAATAATGACAAGCTCAGTAAGTGTGACTTTTCTAGAGAAGCCACCTGGCCCAGAGCTTATTCTTGTGACAAGATCTTGTTTTTCAGTTTTTGGGTTTTCCTTTGAGATGGAGTTTCGCTCGTTGCCCAGGTTTGAATGCAATGGTGCGATCTTGGCTCACTGCAACCTCTACCTCCTGGGTTCAAGAGATTCTCCTGCCTCAGCCTCCCAAGTAGCTGGGATTACCAGTGTGCACCACCACACTTGGGTAATTTTTATATTTTTTGTAGAGACGGGGTTTCACCAAATTGGCCAGACTGGTCTAGAACTCCTGACCTCAAGTGATCCGAGTGCCTCAGACTCCCAAAGTGCTGGGATTACAGGCATGAGCCACTGCACCCGGCCGTGACAAGTTTTTAAATTATTAATTCAATCTATTTACTTATTATAAGTCTATTTAGGTTTTCTTTTATGGAATGCTTCACAAATTTGTGTGTCATTCTCACACAAGGGCCATGCTAATCTCTGTATTGTTCCAATTTTAGTATATGTGTTGCCAAAGTGAGCAACTATTCAGATTTTCTATTTCTTCTTGAGTTAGCTTCGGTCACGACTTTCTAGGAATTTGTCCATTTCAACTAAGTTATCTAATATTTTGTTACACAATTATTCATGGAATTCTCTTATAATCCTTTTTATTTCTGTAAGGTGAATAATAATCTCCCCTCTCATTCCTGCTTTTAGCAATCTGAGTCTTCTTTTTATCTCAGTCAGTCTCACTAAGTTTGCCAATTTTGATGATCTTTTCAAATAACCAATCTTTGCTCTCATCTTTGCTATTTTCTTCCTTCTTGTTTTAGGTTTTGTTCGTGCTTTTTCTGGTGTCTTAAGGTGAAACACAGGTTAATGATTTGAGATCTTTTTTAATGTAGGTATTTACAGTTATAAACTTCCCCCTCAGCCCTGCTCTCACTGCAGTGTATAATTTTTGGAATGCTGTGTTTTTATTTGCATTTATCTCCAAGTTTTTTTAAGAGACAATGTCTTGCTTTGTCACCCAGGCTGAAGTGCAGGGGCGTGATCATAGTTCATTGCACCTCAAACTCCCAGGCTAAACAATCCTCCTGTCTCAGTCTCCCAAGTAACTGGGACTATAAGGGCACATCTCTGGGCCTGGCTAATTTTTTTTTGTAGAGACGGGGGTCTCACTTTTGTTGCCCAGGCTCTCGAACTCCTGGCTTTAAGAAACCCTCCCACCTTGGTCTCCCAAAAGCGCTGGGATTACAGGCGGCGTGAGCCACTACATCTGGCCTGTCTCCAAGTACGCCACCATGCCCAACTAATTTTTGTATTTTTAGTAGAGATGGGGTTTTGCCATGTTGACCAGGCTGGTCTCGAACTCCCAACCTCAAGTGATCCGCCCACCTCGGCCTCCCAAAGCGCTGGGATTAGAGGTGTGAGCCACCGCGCCCAGCCAACTAGCACCTTAACTTAAAACAATCCAGTTTTGATTAACACAAACCTAATTCTAATGGTACGGAGAAATGTTGCTCCTATAAAGCTCTTCCCTCACTTCTCTTTTGTGCTGTAACTGTCAAATCACACCTTTATATGTTATAAGCCTATCAAAACAGCTTTATAATTATTACTTTGTACAGTTGTCTTTTAAGGCAGATAGGGGCCAAGCGTAATGGCTCACGCCTGCAATCTCAGCTCTTTGGGAAGCCAAGGCAGGTGGATTACCTGAGGTCAGGAGTTCGAGACCAGCCTGACCAACATGGCAAAACCCTGTCTCTACTAAAAATACAAAAATTAGCTGGGCCTGGTGGCGGGAGTCTGTAATCCCAGCTACTCAAAAGGCTAAGGCAGGAGAATCACCTGAGTCCGGGAGGTGGGGGCTGCAGTGAGCCGAGATCGGCGCCACCGCACTCTAGCCTTGGCGACAGAGGGAGACTCCGTCTCAAAAAAAAAAAAAAAAAGAAAAGAAAAAAAGACAGGAGACTAAAAGTTACAAAAGTGCACTTACATTGTCTTTTAACTTGACATATGTAGCTGTCTTCACCGTTGTTCTTTTATTTCTTCACGTATCCTACCACCTAGTGTCCTTTCATTCCAGCCTGAGACATTCCTTTCAGTATGTATTATAAGGGAGGTTGGCTAAAACAACAAATGTCCTCTGTTTATTGTTTACCTGGAAATATCTTAATTTCTTTTTTTTTGAGACAGGATCTTGCTCTGTTCACCCAGGCTGGAGTGCAGTGGCACAATCTTGGCTCACTGCAACCTCCGCCTCCCAGGTTCAAGCAATTCTCGTGACTCAGCCTCCTGAGTAGCTAAATTACAGGCGTTCGCCAACACGCCTGGCTAATTTTTGTATTTTTAGTAGAGACGGGGTTTCACCATGTTGGCCAGACTGGTCTCGAACTCCCGACCTCAGATGATCCACCCACCTTGGCCTCCCAAAGTGCTGGGATTACAGGCATGAGCCACCACACCCAGCCAATTCCTCTATTTTCAAAGGACAGTTTTACTGGACACAGAATTCTCAACTGACAGTCTCTCTTTCAGAAACAGGGTTTTCACACTGAGCTAGCTCATACGATGGCAAGCTCAGTAAGTGGGACAGGTCCGAGAGTGACATGCTCTGCAGCCGGGACTTGCTGAGGAGCTCCAGCCTTCATGTGTCCCCTCCAGTAGCTGCTAGGCTGCTGGCTTTCCCAGCTACCATGGTTATAAGGCAGCTGGTTTCCATGGTTACCACGGAGCTGGGGAGAAGAGAATGGGAGGAGGTTGAGTTAGAGGTGCCACAGTTGTTCACAGATAAAAGCTCCTCAGAGTGTCGCAACCGTTGGTTAATTTCGCGTTCTGACAGTTGATTTTGACCATTTTTGCCAGTGTTTTCACTGCTTTTATGGAGGATTGGATTACAGAGGCCTCACTCCACCATTCCGGCTAAGTGGCATTTCTGATGCAGACTCAAAGCTGTCACGAATGAAGAATGTTTAGCATGCATGCCTCTGTTGATTCTGTTTTCTAAACCTCCACATGTCACTCCTACCTTTCCACTCCAGATCCTCGCCGTCTCCTCTGGACCAAAGCAATCCATCTTTTCCTAACTGGCTTTCCTGCCTCTAAGCCTCACCTAAAACCCATCCTCTATATCCAAAATGACCATTCTTTTCCTTTTCTGTTCTTATTTTTTGTAGAGATAAGGTCTCACTAAGTTGCCCACACTGGTCTTGAACTCCTGAACTCAAGAGATCCTCCAGTTTTGGCCTCCCAAAGTGCTGGGATTACAGACCTCAGCCACCATGCCTGGCCTCAAAATGACTATTCTACCAGCAAAACAGAAAGTGAGGCTGGATGCATTAGCTCATGCCTGTAATCCCAGCACTTTGAGAGGCCGAGGCGGGCGGATCACCTGAGGTCAGGCATTCAAGACCAGCCTGCCCAATGTGGTGAAACCCCATCTCTACTAAAAATACAAAAATTAGCCAGGCGTGGTGGCAGCACTCATAATCCCAGCTACTCGAGAGGCTGAGGCAGGAGAATCGCTTGAACCCAGGAGGTGGAGGTTGCAGTGAGCTGAGATCATACCACTGCACTCCAGCCTGGGTGACGAGAGAGATTCCATCTCAAAAAAATTTTTAAAAATTGAGTGTCATTCCCCTGCTTAAAATACTTAAACAGCCCACATCCTAGACAGGAGGTCCTACCATCTGGTTTTGGCTGCCTCTCCCACCTTGGTCTCCAGCCACATTCCCGTGCCCCACTAGGCCCTACCCACGCTAGGAGTCACCCTCAATGTATCACATGTGTCCTGCTGCTGCTCATGCCTCTCTGCAGCGTGGCACACGGGACTGCCCACCCTTTCCAGACCATCCCCCACATCCCATCAGCCTAGCAAGACCTGAGCCAAGCATCACCCCTGCATTCCATGCCTGACCTCTCCGAAGCTGTTCACCCCTCACACCATTCACCACTCTGCATTACAAAGGCCTGAGCTACTCAAGGATACTCAGTGTTTAGCATTCTAGTAAGAGCCACAGTCTTTATAAAGCTCTAGGAAAGGCCCTACTCCACCTGTCCCCCACCTTCATTCCCCCCAACCTAACCCCCTACTGCCTTTCCACCCAGGATTGCTGTCCTAAAGCCACATGCGCCTCCTGCTGTTTCTTCCGTGCAGCAGTCATCCTCCCCGACAAAGGCCTCTGCACTTACCACTCCCTCTGCCAAGACGCCCTCCCCACTAACTTCTACGTGGCCACTGCCTCACTAGCTCCAGGTCCTTGCTCAACTGCTGCCTTCACAGAAGGGCCGGCCCTGATCATTCTACTTAAAATTGAACACCTATACCCTCATTTACCCAATCACCTTCCCCCCTTAATATCTCTCTGTTGTGTTTATCATCTTCTAACATCTCACCAAATTTCGTGTTTATTTTCGATCTCTATCCACTAGAATGATATTTCTCTGTTGTGTTTATCATCTTCTAACATCCCACTAAACTATGTTTTTCTTTTTGATCTCTGTCCACTAGAATGCAAGCTCCATGTGAACACGGAGTTGTTTTTTCCCTGCCATAGTCCCAGAATCCTGGGAAGTGCCTGGCATTGTAGCAGGCTCTCAATAAATACTTGGTAAGAATAAATGCTCTGCAGACAGCAGGTACCCAGCAATAGCACCACATCTCTGAGTGCTCATAATGCACCAAAAACTGTCCCAAGAGCTTCTGAGCAACACAGCTGGAAAACAACGAGCATTTCCTGAGCGACGGGATCACCAGAGGTGCCATGTCAGTCTCTACAGCATCCTCTCCTTCGGGGCCCCCATCACATCCATCCTGTCGACCTGTCCGCTTTTCCTCCAAACGAGTGCTCTATTCCGGCCATCTCCGCTGCCACCTGCATCTCCAGTCAGACTCCCTTACTCGCGCCATCTCCACTGCCACCTGCATCTCCGGTCGGGACTCTCTTACTCTCGCCATCTCCACTGCCACCTGCATCTCCGGTCGGACTCTCCTATTCTCGCCATCTCCGCTGCCACCTGCGTCTCCGGTCGGGACTCTCTTACTCTCGCCATCTCCGCTGCCACCTGCATCTCCAGTTGGGACTCTCTTACTCTTGCCATCTCCGCTGCCACCTGCATCTCCGGTCGGACTCTCCTATTCTCGCCATCTCCGCTGCCACCTGCGTCTCCGGTCGGGACTCTCTTACTCTTGCCATCTCCGCTGCCACCTGCATCTCCGGTCGGGACTCTCCTATTCTCGCCATCTCCGCTGCCACCTGCATCTCCGGTCGGACTCTCCTATTCTCGCCATCTCCGCTGCCACCTGCATCTCCAGTTGGGACTCTTCGCAGCTTTCACCTTCCACTCACCTCCAACCTACTTTCCACAGAGAAGCTGGCATTAAGGGAGGAGACCACCCCTCACATTGTCTTATTCCCAATTTCTGCCTCCAAAGAAAGAAGAAGCAAAAACTAAAAGGCAGAAATGAAATCCACAAGCAGACAGCCCGGTGCCACACCCTGGGCCTCGTAGTTAAAGATCGACCCCTGACCTAATCAGTTATGTTATCTATAGATTCCAGACATTGTATAGAAAAGCACTGTGAAAATCCCTGTCCCATCCTGTTCCGTTCTAATTACAGGTGCATGCAGCCCCCAGTCACATACCCCCTGCTTGCTCAATCGATCACGACCCTCTCACGTGGACCCTCTTAGAGTTGTGAGCCCTGAAGAGGGACAGGAATTGCTCATTCGGGGAGCTCGGCTGTTGAAGATTTGACTCTTGCCAAAGCTCCCGGCCGAATAAAGCCCTTCTTTAACTCGGTGTCTGAGGGGTTTTGTCTGTGGCTTGTCCTGCTACAGTGTAATATTGTCATATAATTACATCAGACCTGTTACTCACTCGCTTTCCTTTGGCAGCTTCCTACAAGGCACCCAGGATAAAATCAGACTCATGCCGGAGCCTTCAAGGCCCAGCACGTTCTGGCCTCCCCCAGCAATCCGGCTTATGCCAGCTCCTCTCCTCGCTCACTGAGTTCCAACAGTACAGCCTCTCAGGTCCTGAAACACAACTGGCTCTCTACCACCTCAAGCCCTTCTCCCCTCCAGGCTGGGACAAGGCTGGTCCCAGGCAGCTTCAGGACCCAGATGAAATGTCACTTCCGCAGAGAGGTCTTTCAGCAACACTCGACCTAAGGGAGTCCCCTTTTATCATCCACCATGATAAACTGCCTTGGTGTCACACAATATGCCCACATAACAAACCTGCACATTTACCCCCAGAATCTAAAATAAAGGCTGAAATTATTTTTTAAAGTCATCAAAAAATACATGAGAAAAAACATTTCAGTTCAGGGTTTAAACAAATCTCTCTGGAAAATTCAAGTATCCAAACTCCCCTGGACTCACCCATCATTACCAATAACAGAATCTACTGACTAAACTACTGAGATAAATTTCCATTTACTATATTCTATTACCAGCAAGAAACAAAGGTCAGTCGGTCAAAGGCCCCATGCCTTTCCTTTGATTTCTAGGTTTCAGAGCACTACAGACTAATCCCATACGTAGGTTTGCAAAGTACATACCACACCGTTCATTCCCTTGAATGGGGAACAAGGTCCTTCCTACTTGCTTACTTCAGACAAGGAATAAATGCCGAGTCACCATTCTATTTAAAATTCCACTGAGAAATACATGCCACACAAGCTCTCAGAACCACCTGCCCAAATTTGATTTACTAAAAGGTCAGGTATTGCTAAGCGCGGTGGCTCACGCCTGTAATCCCAGCACTTTGGGAAGCCGAGGCGGGCAGATCACGAGGTCAGGAGATCGAGACCATCCTGGCTAACAGGGTGAAACCCCCCTCTCTACTAAAAATACAAAAAATTAGCCGGGCATGGTGGTGGGCGCCTGTAGTCCCAGCTACTCAGGAGGCTGAGGCAGGAGAATGGAGTGAACCTGGGAGGCGGAGGTTGCAGTGAGCCAAGATCACGCTACTGCACTCCAGCCTGGGTGACAGAGCGAGACTCCATCTCAAATATAAATAGATAAAAAATAAAAGGTCAGGTATTACTACTTCATTTAAGCATGAGAGGCCGGGCATGGTGGTTCATGCTTGTAATCCCACCACTTTGGGAGGCCAAGGCCACCAGATCACTTGAGATCAGGAGTTCAACACCAGCCTAGCCACATGGCAAAACCCCATGTCTACTAAAAATACAAAAATTAGCCGGGCGTGGTGGTGCATGCCTGTAGTCCCAGCTACTTGGGAGGCTGAGGTGGGAGAATCGCTTGAACCTGGGAGTCAGAGATTGCAGTGAGCCGAGATCACGCCACTGCACTCCAGCCTGGGCAACAGAGTGAGACTCCATCTCAAAAAAAAAAAAGAATAAGAAAGCAGCCAGCCACAGTGGCTCATGCCTGTAACCCCAGCACTTTGGGAGGCTGAGACAAGAGAATCACTTGAGGCCAGGAGTTCAGGACCAGCCTGGGCAACATAGTAAGACCCCATCTCTAAAAAAAATAAAAATTACATAAAGTCAAATTATTCCTCCCCAAAGCCTTCTCTCAGGCAGTGATAAATCAAGAATATATCAGAAGTCATAAATGGGGGCCGGGGCATGTGTGTAGAAACAATCAGTCATCAAGGACAATAGAGTTATCACAATCCTGGACATTGCCAAGCAATGGTCAAGCAGTAACTGACTCAGCCAAGGAGAGCAAGCTGCACCCCAGCTACCTGCAGGAGGGAAGACAAATTAAGAAGCAAACCGTCTCGAACAGAGAACCCGAAAAGGCTTGGGAATGAAAGGAACCTCAGGAGACCGATGTCAGGAGGATGGGCTTCAAGTCTATACAGAGAGCAGCAGATCCCTGCCATGAGACCCTGCAGCCAGGCAGGCCCCTCGGCCCCCATCTCAGAAAAAGACAAGCTGGAAAAGTGAGAACACAAAAGCTCCGAGCTCCACGGAGTGTGGAGCAAGGGGCCTCGTGAGAGCAGCACAGCGCAGTGACAGACTCCCCGAGGGGTGAGATGCCCCATCCCAGAATGATGGCAGCCGGGCTCACAACACCCACCTGCTCACCAAGCAAGAGAAGAGAGTCGAGAGTCCTCTGGAAGAACTGAACCAGCATTCAGGCTCCTCCTCAGACCTCACCCTGCAGCGAAGGCCCCTGCCAAAGCCCTTCAGGTTGGCAGGCACTGGTACACATGGGTGGACAGCCACCAGCCACCAAGCACAAAGTGAGAGCTCAGAACCTCACAGCATGGGCCAGAGACCAAACAAACCTACACAAAAGGCATTCAAAGCAATGAGACAATGCACAGAAGGAAACGCCAAAGGAAACACCTTTACACAGACGAGATAAAATACAGCTTAAAGAAACAGATGCCACCAAAAAAGGGGCACTTGGGTCATGAGAAAGCTCTCAAGCTATAAAACTGACAGCAGAAATTAAAAATGCAAAACAAGGGCTAGAGGACAAACTTGAGAGTCGTGGAAACAGAACGCGAAAGGCAGAAAGGCAGGAAAATCTACACCAGGAGGTATAATTTCAACTACCATAGAGAAATACAGAGAAAAGAGAAAGTGAAATGAAACAGAAGAGGTTAGCAACAAAATACAACAAGAATATTTTCCACTAGAGCCCAAAAGACATAAGTTTCCAGATTGAATAAGGCCACCAAATGCCACACTTGGGCACATCGTCTTAAAATTTCAGACACGGGCCGGCGCAGTGGCTCACGGCTGTAATCCCAGCACTTTGGGAGGCCAAGGCGGGTGGATCACTTAAGGTCAGGAGTTCAAGACCAGCCTGGCCAACATGGCGAAACCCCGTCTCTACAAAAAACACAAAAATTAACCAGACAGGTGGCACACACCTGTAGTTCCAGCTACTCTGGAGGCTGAGGCAGGAGAATCGCTTGAACCCGGCAGAAGAGGTTACAGTGAGCCGAGATCGCGCCACTGCACTACAGCCTGGGTGACAGAGTGAAACTCTGTCTCAAAAAAAAAAAAAAAAAAAAAAGTAAGCAAAACAAAAGGCAATCATTAACTTTCAAAAAAATTAAAAACTGACCCAAAAGTTGAACTGTTATTCTCGGCTGAGAACAGTACTTTCAGACATGAAATAGACATTAATCAGGTAAAATATTACACATATACAAGTACAGGAGAAGAGAAACTTGAGCAAGAGTTAAAAGACTCATCTTCTAGAGTAAGGCATCAATAAACAGGCCAGGCACGGTGGCTCACGCCTGTAATCCCAGCACTTTGGGAGGCCGAGGAGGGCAGATCAGTTGAGGTCAGGGGTTCAAAACCAGCCTGGTCAACATGGTGAAACTCCGTCTCTAATAAAAATACAAAAAATTAGCCGGGAGTGTGGCAGGCTCCTGTAAGCCCAGCTACTCGGGAGGCTGAGGCAGGAGAATCACTTGAACCTGAGAGGCAGAGGTTGCAGTGAGCCGAGATCCCACCACTGTACTCCAGCCTGGGCAACAGAGCGAAACCCCGTCTCAAAAAAAGTCAATAAGTAATGACTAAATGGGGGAAAGAACACCCATAAATAGTAGGAACACACAATTTAGACTTAAAAAGCAATCATTCTTAAAGTAAATTTTTAAGAAGAAACAGCTATAAAATGAAAATAATTCACTCAGGTTTAGAAATGTGGGCAAGGCAGGGGCAATGTTTTATAATTAACTTCTTAAACCTTTTTTTTTTTTTTTTTTTGAGACAGAGTCTTGCTGTCACCAGGCTGGAGTGCAATGGTGCGATCTCGGCTCACTGCAACCTCCACCTCCCGGGTTCGAGTGATTCTGCTGCCTCAGCCTCCCAAGTAGCTGGGATTACAGGTGCCCAGCACCACACTCAGGGAATTTTTTTATATTTTTAGTAGAGACAGGGTTTCATATTGGCCAGGCTGGTCTCAAACTCCTGACCTCGTGATCCACCCGCCTCGGCCTCCCAAAGTGCTAGGATTACAGGCGTGAGCCACCGCACCTGGCCTTAAACTACATTCTTTAACTTTTTTAATCTTTTAAAACATTTAAGTAAGGACAAGCCTAGACAAGAAAGTCACAAGAATAAACGCTATTAGGAAGACCTGCCCAGTTACTTCCTAATAACTAAAAATAAACATATCAACATTTTCATAGAACAGACTAGAAAGCACAGAAGGAGTCTGTAAAAACATACAAACATTTGGGCCGGGCACAGCGGCTCATGCCTGTAATCCCAGCATTTCAGGAGGCCAAGGCGGGCAGATGACGAGGTCAGGAGATGGAGACCATCCTGGTTAACACGGTGAAACCCCGTCTCTACTAAAAATACCAAAAATTAGCCAGGCGTGGTGGCGGGCACCTGTAGTCCCAGCTACTCGAGAGGCTGAGGCAGGAGAATGGCGTGAACCCGGGAGGCAGAGCTTGCAGTGAGCCAAGATCGCGCCACTGCACTCCAGCCTGGGGGACAGAGTGAGACTCTGTCTCAAAAAAAAAAAAAAACATACAAACATTTGAGAATACAGTTGACGATGCATTGCAAGGAGAAAAAAGCATTACCTCATAAATGTTCTAGAACATATTTGGTAATCGATGCGAGGAATGATGGAGACCCATCTCACAAGAAAATAAACTACAAGGGGTTAACGGGATAAACATAATTTCAAAAGCTTTAAAACCTCAGTATCGTATAGGGGTTTGGTGGGGACTTCAGGCGATGGGAGAAGCCACAGGGAGGGTCGGTGTAGCCAAGGCAGCATCTGTAAGGAAAGGCTGGCCTTCGTGCGGCACCAGCCGGCACACAGGCGACCCAGGTGAGAGGCCCCAACAGAGGGTCTGTCACCATCATAAAGCAACACCCCAGTGACTCATCAAATGCAAAGGGGCACAGAGAAGTCACAGGAAAGACAAACCAATAAGCATGCGTTTTGTTTCTTGTTTTTAAATGAGACTGCTCCCTCCAGGCAGAAGCATAACCTGGCTGCCTGGTGCTCCAGGCAATCAGAGGCAGAAAGGTGGCAGGCAGGCATCTCAGGGGCAAACCGACACAGTTCAAGCTCCAGCTCCACCTCTCGGGAGCTCCGGGACTTAGGCTAACTGACAACCTCTCCACGCCACAGTTTCCTTATCTGTAAATAAGTATAGACAGTCTCCAATTTGTGATGGTGAAGCTGAACGATTTTTTGACTTTACAATGGCATGAAAGCAACACGCACTCAGTAGAAATCGTACATCAAGTGCCCAATCACCTTGTTTTCCACTTTCATACAGTATTCAATAAATTACATGAGATATTCAATCCTTTTTTATACATAGGGTTTGTGTTAGATGGTTTTGCCCAACTGTAGGCTAATGTGAATTTGGTGGTGGTGTTTTGAGACAGGGTCTCATCCTGTCGCCCAGGCTGCGCAATGGCGCAAACGTGGCTCGCTGCAGCCTCAACCTCCTAGGCTCAAGAGATCCTCCCACCTCAGCCTCCCAAAGTGCTGGAATTACAGGCATGAACCACCTTGCCTGGCCCCAAAAGTGAACTTTTAAAAGATACTGTTCAAAGTGTGCTTTGAGAAGATGGCAGAGATCTGACATGCGCTCACGGCACTGAAGGCCTCTTTCTGGAGACGGACAATGGTGTTGCGCTGTGGTCAGTGGTAAATAACAATAGGCTGGGCACGGTGGCGCACACCTGTAATCCCAGCACTTTGGGAGGCCGAAGCGGGCGGATC